>NC_000002.12:58675200-58978231 GCF_000001405.40 Homo sapiens | reverse complement strand
ATCAAATAAAGACAAATTATGTGCTAGCCTTTTCTAATTTATTACATATAATCTGAGCCAATAAAATTTCGCAAATTAAAAAAACCCACCATCAAAAAATCTCAGCACTATTATGTATGTCTCTGTCTCTGTCACTCTTTCTCTCTCACACACACACACAGACATACACACACAAAACCAATTCTATTTATTAGAATTCACACAGCTCCTGAACAGATAGCTCATCTGCATTTTATCAGGTGTCTCTATAATTAAAGCTTATTGTAAAGTGAGATATTATTGGTATATTTTATTACTTGTCTATGAGAAGCTGAACAAAGTAAGAGGCATAAATGAATTCAGTTTTACAGTACTTTGTTTTAAACAAATGTCACTACCTACACACACATACCTAATTATCAGTTCTTACACATTCTGCCAAATATCAAACCTATAGTTCATAAGCCACACACACAACAGGAGGTAAATATATTCCCCCTAATTTAAAATTTTATTGCAGAATACCCTCTGCACTATGTTAACCTACACTAAATCACAGCCTACACTCTCAGCTTTACCGGTGTTTACCTACTTCTGATTCAAAAAGAAAACAGTCCTAACTCCTGTTTCTACATATCTATAGTAATAAAAATTTTAAAAAGAGAATGACTATATGTAAGAAAGGAATTCAAAACAATGGCATAAAACGGTTGACTTTAACTGTAACAGCGAATAACAGATTAATCCAAGACACTGTTTTTTGGTGTGGTTTCTGAAGGTTCTATGTTCTGAATGTCAGGGTTTCTTTGCATATTTTTGTACATTTCAAAGACTCCCGCAGCAGCAATGCAGAAATTAACATAAAGATGAAGGCTCTCGCAGATGACTGGGCAGTTGGTTTGAATGCACGTAGGCTATGATTGTATATATACAATTTTTCTATTCAAGCACATGTAAGTGAAGGCCAGCACATCCTTTTTCCAATGGGGAAATTCACTCAGGGGAGAACTCAGGAGAGGTCGCTAGTGCGGCCTCATTCTCCCATCTACAGGCAACTGTTTTGCCATCAACCTAAAGGAACAACTTCTCAGAACTCAGTTTCAGCACAGGCTCAGTTCCACTTAACCCACGATTCTTCACAGGTGCTTTGTTGTCTTCCAGCAGATATCATTTATTATCATGGCAGACAATGGGATGTGGTGAAGACGGACGTGACGGTCATGTCCCATTTGCCAGTGTGAATTATCCTCTGATCCTGTCCTCTATTCGTGGTGGGTTCTGAGTGCCCCATTTTGAAAAAGAGTCTGAAGCCATTAGAACAAAAAGCACTGGAAGGGCTTGGGCTGCTAAAGGCTACATCTGGGCTCAGCAACATGCATACTAATAACATCATTACGGCCGAGTGGTTTGGAGAGCGTGTTTACTTTGTTGTGGTTGCTGTCACCTTCTACAGCTGAATTGTTAATATGTAGTTTTAAATTCAAATAGCACACAGGGCTAATTTTCTTGTATTTGCCCAAAAAATTAGGTTACATAGTTCATCTAATTCTCCCTCCACTTTTTCATGTGTGGGTGGTACTCCTTGTAGAGAGTACTTCTTTTCCATGACATTGAACTTGAACCTGACTGACCTTTCTATAATGAGTGAATTGAAAACATCTCCCTTTGGAATGTGGCTTGTAGATACTGGCTACGCCAGTTTTTCTGCATTTGATGAATTAAAGGGGCAGAGTCCTTTTCACAGACCTAGACCATAGGAGTTATTTAACAGGACAAAAAAGAAAAAAAGAGAGAGAGAGGAAGGAAGAAAAGAAGCAAGGAACGAAGGAAAAGGGGGAGGAAGGGAGAAAGGAAGAGAGAGAGAAAGAAGAAAAAAAGCTTTTAAAAGCTTTTACAGAGGCACGCCGCTTAATTAGAAACCTACCATTAATTTTAACAAAAAGTGATTAGGCAAAGGTTTGGGTCGTCTTGGGTGTGTTGGTCTTCTGCTGGTGGCAGTGTTACCTTTTTTTCCTCCCCCTGACCATTTAAATATTTAAGAAAGAGCCTGCCACTTTAAAGTTCCATGTATTTCTAACAAATACTTAAATGGGAGATTCGGATATTTGTCTCCTTCAACTCAGATATTATGTCCCTCCTCCTCATTGTTCTTTCTCAAATCAATCCTCCCCCACCTAAAATCAAAGTTAAATTGAGAGACACTTGGAATCAGAGCTACTGAATAATCAGTTAGTAGATTTCTTCTCTTATGCTTTCATAGCCCACGGATTCATGCTTCTTCACTTTTTTAAGGGGGAAAAATACAGAATTGATGGAAGACAGCTGAAAACAGTCAGCAGCAGCAGAAAGTCCAGCACTACCAGCATCTGATCTTAATCATAATATATCCTCTGTCTGGTTTGTCAAAATCTATCACTCAAGAACACCTTCAATGGACAGTAATTTGAGGT
This sequence comes from Homo sapiens, assembly GCF_000001405.40. NCBI lineage: Eukaryota > Metazoa > Chordata > Mammalia > Primates > Hominidae > Homo > Homo sapiens. The sequence continues at coordinate 58,975,802 of NC_000002.12, read as the reverse complement.
GTGGCTTATTAGATCACACGATCTTATGAATAATAAAAAGTTACGGAAAATTGCATCCAGGCCTGCTATCCAATTTTCAGTGGTGTCACCCACTTTATAGTAAGGCAGCATGTTTATGCATGATTTCTGTTTCATATGTATTGACTAGATCATTTTCTCTGTTGTCCTGAGAATTGATGACACACACTGTATTAAGAATGATGACCTCCACAAGGGGGATAACACTTCCTCTAGATTACACTATTGTCAAAACATATTGAAATTTTCTTTACACATGTTACTGCTGTATTTTTCTGCCTGAAAGACCCTGTTAAAGTGAAATCTTGTTGTATTTTTTTTTTGCTAAATAAGATCCGAGGGACAGGTGTTGAATTTTTCTTTTCTACTAATACTTTTGTGGAATGACCAATGAAAAATAATAACATCATCCTTCAAAACAATCCCTGTCAGGACTGTGTCAACCCTTCAGGGCAATTTTGATAACCTTTTTGGAGGAATTTGCAAGATACAACTTCCTTTTGCATGCGTAAGGACATCACTGCGTAGGAGCCAAGGAACTCCATTATGTATGGATTCTAATATTCTGATGGATAATAGGCAGCCGAAGGAAATCCAAATAGCAAAAAGCTTTGATGAAGATTGTTTTCTCTCCCACTTTCCCTGACGGAGTCTCACTGAGGGTGACATTATTCTTCACTGCACCCCCGCAGCACACGTACACCTCCTTTTTAGGAATCTACACAGAGCTCAACTTGCAGTGATGTAACACCACTGCTGATACCATGGGTATGTGAAAATAGTGTGCAATATTACTTTCTCCCTTGCACTGGATGAAAATGCAAATCCACCTTCTGTGAGAGAGTGACCCCTTTGTGGCCAATGACACCACACAGCACACGTTGAGATGTCTTTGGAGAGGAAAAAAAAAAAAGAGCAAGGTAATTATGGAGCCAAAATAAAACCAGGTTATTAAGCCTAGAAAAGTTTCCATATTATTATTGAAAATACCAAAGATAGGCAAAAAAAAAAGTATTATAAAATTATGGGATCATTTTGAAATAAAGTTGTAAATAAACAATAGATGAAACCTCTCATGTTTAAGTGTATTCCCATTCCTTCTCTGGTCATCTTTCCAAAGATTCTTGATATATAGTTGTCCCATGATAGTGGATGATGCAACATAAAGATGAAAGACTGATTGGAAATCGACATCTAAAGTATATGTGTTGTGCAGAAAAAAAAGTAGCATATCAAAGACTAACTGTCAAGAGGCATTAAGAATAGAAAACAGAGATGTGTGAGAGGGAATTTTATGTTTTAATTTAATTTAATTTAATTTACGTGACTTTTGTATTGGAGCCCATTGAACTGACAGGAAATGAAGACAGTGCCTATCTGGCTTGAGATATGTGAGGCTTGTAATTGAAATTAATTATATGTTCTTTACATTTTCCATTTCCCTTTTAAAGTTGGACAGGTGGGAATGCTTGAGCTCTTAGGTTACAGAGTCGAGTTCGAGCTCTGTAAATCCTTTACAGTCAACCCTCAGGCTTCCAGAGACCGCCTCCACCCCCAACCCCCGCAGCCAGCTCTGGTCTGAAACATTCCTTCCCGACCTCACCCTGCTTAAAATCAACTGGCCCCATCCCCCAGGTCAGCCTGGCTGGCTGCCCATCCACACATTTATGTCTGCCTTTTGAGTGTTTTCAGAAGACCATTAAATTGTGCCTTGGCAGGCCAGACACCTTCACCTTGCTCTGAGACCCAGGGAGAGGGGGTTATCAAATTCCCTCATCAGACAGTCCAAGCTTGAATTCTTGAGCCTGCAAAGAAGCTATGCAGTTGCACAAAGTAAGATGTTAGGACTTGTAAACATGTCATACAATATTATAATATGCCTGTGGGCACGGTTAAGTACAAAGGTTGGGCGGGCCTGGAGATACAAAGGCTGGCCTTTCTGTGGAGCTGTCTTAACGTACATTATTTTTTAGAGACAGCACAATGGGTATTAACTTGCATAAAGAAGCTAACTCCCATTCTTAAACTAGCTAGCCCTACAGTGCTCTTCAAGAGGGCTAAAATTTCAATGGCTATAGAGTGAAATAAAAAAAAAAAAAAAAAAAAGCACAACACCCTCATCTGATGCTGCATAGTGATGGAAAGCTTTGCTCCCACCAAAAAGGGTTCCCATTCCCGCCCTGGTTCTAAGACTGACTTTGACGCCCTGGGTGCATTCAAAAACCAAGATAATTTGGGTAAAGGAGCAAAAGTTCTGTTTGTTGTTGGCCTAGCCTCCAAATCTTTGGGCAAATTGAAATAGACCTGGCTGGTCCTTTTTCTACCAAAAAGTACCCCTTAAATATTATTTTTGTTAGTATTGGAGAGTCCTGTGATTCTAGACTATTATATCTAACGCCTGCCTATTGCTTTAGGCAGAATTAAGATGGAGTTGGGGGTTGAGTAATAAGATCCACTTGCATCAACCTTATTTCTTGTCTTAGAGATGAGATAGAAATTGATGAATTGGAGGAGGAAGTGCAGTGTTTCCTTCTCTCCCCTCTCAATCCCACCTTCCTTTCTTTTTCCCCCCTTCCTTCCTCCCCACCTTACTGACTTCTCTTCCTTCCTTCCTCCCTGACCTTCCTTCCTTCCTTCTTTTGTCATTAAACACAGTACCATTTACCTTCTACAAGAAATCTGATGGAATTTAATCTACAACATGGTTCCAGACCGGAAGTACAGCTGTGCAGCAGAAAGGGGGCAATGGGGGAGGTGATATTTTATAACACAAAACAGGCAGGACTACTCTGGACAGAAGATAATGCAAACTAGGTTTGCTGGAAATGAGCTGCAAAATACCTTCATTTTCTACTACAGTGAAACCCTGATAAAATCACAACTGTTAAGGTCATACAGTATATCAGGTGGAATCACAGTCTTTAGAACTCCATTATTAATGCAGACAACCTCACAATCAAAGAGGATGAGAGCACAGTTTCCAGATGCCAATGATTTGATCATATCTTATTTGGCTGTTTACATTTAAATAATGTGACTGTATAAATTTAAATAATATGAACCACCAACAGACAGATCCCAGTGAAAAACTGCCCCTTCTCTGAGACCCTGAATGTACACTATACAGCACCTTACAATCTATTTGAGCAGAGCTCATATTTTTTAAAAAATGGGGAGGGGATAAAAAAAGAGAGACTCATTTCTTCTGCCATTATGGAAATAAAAGGACTACCGCTTTAGTTCGTGGCTGGCTGTGCCAAGGAAACATGCAGTTCTCTAACCTCCGGTACGATGTACCCATAAGGTACCAAGCATCAAAGCATATTAAAAGATATTAACTGCATATTTGCTTATGAACAAGATAAAAAGCTGTAGGGCCTCCAGGTTCTCAAGCTGTGAGTGGAACAGCTTTGCAATTTGCCTGCAAAACTGCATTTTGATCTTAATGAATATAAAATGGCTGCCATTAAAAGTAAAACAGATTATTTCGGGTCTTCCAGGGCCCATAGCTCTTTGCTGGCCTTGGAGGGCCACTATGATCTTTCATTAAAATCTCACAGCAGGGCTCCCTCACCAGCAAATCAAGCCTTGCAGTCTAGGAGATTGGCTACATTTAAAAGTAATTTTCAGAAATCTACACAGATTTTCAATTTGGTAATGAAAGCCATAAGAGAATGCAGGCGGCATTTTGTCGAATATTGTTACTGATCCAGCACTCACATTCGTTAGAAATTAAACTGCCCCGTAACTATCACACTGATGGCAGCTTGCCATTTCGGCTGCGTTCTAATCTCCGTTTGTTAATGAGTAGCATGTGCTAATTGTTGTCATCCTTACTGCCGAGCAGTCCTTCCCTAACAAACATATTTTACCTGCTCAGAGGTGGAACCTTACGCTTTGTCACAGAGCGGGTTGGAATGGAGTGTTGAGATTGCAGCTGTGTTGTAAAGGGAGGCAGCCCAGCATTGTGAGACAAGGCAAGAGAGAATATGATTTGAAATTGGGTGCGTTTGTATTATTTGAATCCGTCAGTTTGTTTTTCACTCAAGCTTAACTTTTCTAAAGTCCTGGAGTCAGCAAAATGTTAATACTTTTGTGTTACTCCCAAGAGCAGTTTGAACAAACCCACAAAATCTGAGCACAACTAAGGTGAAATCAATTGGAATTAAAATGAGGGAGAGGCTTCAGGTAAGAAGGCATGAACATACCAAGGACCTCACCTACTAGCCAGTCAGGGAGGAGAGCCACCCCTCAAACCTAACGTGGATGTGGGGCTGCCACTGGCTTTCAAGAGAAAGTTCGATTCTTTAACTCCATCACTTCGGTCCTAAAGGCTGGGAGGTGGAGGCCATTGCATTACTCTCAAGTGGATAGTCCTAAGGGAATAATCATATGGACCCACGATAATGTGGTTCCAAGGAGAGCGGGCACCAGAGAAGAGGAAACACTAATAAATTCAGCATCCTGACGTGTGCTGCAGGCAGACATTTGAAAAAAGAAAAGCATATGAAATGATTATGAATAAAACATTATTAAATACAAGAAAATGTACATAAATGCATTCTAAGACCAAATGGGTTTTTTTGTTTGTTTGTTCGTTTTTGCCTTTGCATGTCCTCCTACCTGATATAAGAACTGAGGAAAGTTATTTTTCTGAGATCCGAGAAACAAAAATGTCAGATTATGCTTCCCTATTGGAAAATGCATTCAATAAATTTTCTTTACTTGGCAATTCTCTTTACCTGGCACCTTTAGGGCAAAGCACTTCCCTGCACTAAAATGTGATGGGCAACAAGAACTGCTCTCTACATTCTCTCTGACTGGATATAAATTCTTCCCGCAGATACAGAAAGAGTCTCCATTTAAAATAACAATTCTCCTTGGCAGAGCACTGGCAGCTATGAGAGACCATCTATGCAAAAGAGATGTTTATTTTCAAGGGGCCAGAGAAGGCCTCTTGTGGTCCATGTAAGCAAGTCTTTTAGCTTCTCCAAGCATACGAGCGGTTCCTAGGTGCTCCTGGGCTATGTTCCTTTGGTTTCCACAAAGTAAAATTTTAATTGGACGGCATGTCTGTGATTTTCAGGGAATGACACAGGAGCGCCTGAAAAGGTGCCACCACTAATGTGCTTTAGTTTTTGAGGTGAAAACTCAGGCCAATTCCTTGTCTCTGTGGCCTCAGGAAACCAAAGGGAAATAGATAACAAACAACTTAGTAAGCAGTTTTGAATCTATTCCACCTGTAGTTGCTATTCTAATTGCGGGAAACATTTTTAAATGCCCAAAGTGACATTATAGGAAATTCTGCTGAATCCTCCTGAATTCAGAAAGTTGAGACTTTCTTTATTTCACCTGTCGTCAGTTGTTCTAATATTCCTCTAAGAGCTTCCAGGTACATTTTGACAACTGTATATTGTAATATCTCTTGTATCATTAATTTGCCATGTGCTAAATTGTGGGCAGAGTGAGGCTACATTACCAATTTTGACTCTCAAGTATTAGAATATAACAGCTATTAATATCCCTCTAATTACTAGAGTGGGGAATAAAACTGCACTTTAGGTAATAGAAGTTAATATAATTAGTCTTCAGATAATCAAGTTAAATTTTACTAGTGATATAAAGTATAATTTTTATTTGTTTTGTTTCAGAAAGATACTTCTATGGAAACAGATATCATCTTTGCTTTATCACTTTTACTTTAGCAATTCTGTTGGGAAATATACATGTGCACATACACACAGATTTACATATATATATTACATGGAGAATTTTATTTAAAAAAAAATCACATTAAAGAAGAACATTTGGCTGGGCATTGTGGTCATGTCTGTAATCCCAGCACTTTGGGAGGCTGAGGTGGGTGGATCACCTGAGGTTAGGAGTCCGAGACCAGCCTGACCAACACGGAGAAACCCCGTCTTTACTAAAAATATAAAATTAGCCAGGCGTGGTGGCGCATTCCTGTAATCCTGGCTACTCAGGAGGCTGAGACAGGAAAATCGCTTGAACAGGGAAGGCGGAGGTTGCAGTAAGCCGAGATAGTACCATTGCACTCCAGCCTGGGCAACAAGAGCGAAACTCTGTCTCAAAAAAAAAAAAAAAAAAAAAAAAAAAAAGAGAGAAAATTCACAGCCTTGTAAAAAGGCATAATAAAAGTTTTCAAATAATATTTTTATAACATAGATGAACTTTTTTTTTTTTTTGCCCCATCCCTTCTTTGGAAATTGTAAATAAGACATTTTTTTTTGTTTTCTGTAACAATTTTTAAACTAAATGTTTAAGCTGAAACAAAATATTTGGGGGGGGTATATAGCAATGATTTGCAACTATTCATCCAAAATTCATACTTCTTTTACCATTTCATTATTAAATACAGAGCTCTAATGAAGCTTCAAGGCCTACATAAAATTTTCTTTTAAAAAAACTTTAAAAATATTATAGTCTCTGTTTTTATGAAGTGACATTTTTATTTATCTGTTTTGACAATAAAATATACTAAATTGAACACTAGGTATCATAAGCTTGAAATATAGCATTCTAATATGTGTGTATTTCTATTTACTAATACTTAATGGATCTTGTACAGTCAGCCCCCATGAGACAAATTTATTTAATTCCAAAAGTTAACTTGTAAATTTCTTTCAAATTTGTAATGATTTTTTTCCACAGAAACAATATTTAAATAGTAGTTTGGTTCCAAGGCTAGCCCATAAAAACCAAGTCTGTCATCACGTAGCTGAGCTAAAATCCAAACTGCTTTGGCTGTCCTTTGGTTCCAAGAAACAGAAAACCATGAGATAACAAGGCGAGTAAAAAGTGAGATGAGTGGATAAGGAACTCATAGAAGGAAGATGTGAAGAGGAGCATCATTTCCTTTTCTCCTGTTCAGAGCTTGAGTTTTCCCTCCTCTGTGGGTAAAGAACCCGAGACCCAGGCCTCGACCCAGAAATCTTTGGCCCCCAGTACCCCCAAATTCTATAGCTCCCTGGTCCAAGTCTACACAAATCCACAAAGTTTTTAGTACTCCAATCAACCACTTCTCATTCATCTTCCCAGCCCTCTAATCATATTCCAATTGATTTAACTAGATGTTAGGAGGATGAGGAATAAAGAAAAATGAGAGGCAATGAAAACGTCACCTTTCCAGGTAGGCACTTCTTTGGTTTTAAAAAGGCAGTTCAGTAATTAAATGCGTGGTCTGTACAACATGCATATCTAACCCATGCAGAACACTGGTTAGTCGCAGCATTACTAGGGACCTACCATCATCACCACCACCACCACACACAATCCTGCAGCAGGAGTCTAACAATAAAAAGGAACAGCAAATCCCTTATCAGGGAAGCTGAGACGGGAGCAATGTATGTTGATGTCTGGGAGTTAGCACCAGAGACGATGCTACTGAATTTTCTGTGACATTTGTCCAGCTGCCTGAGGCCCTCAATACTGTGCATGCTGCAAATGCAGAGAGCCTTCTATCTTGAGCAGAAGGTAAATACACTTGATGAGTGTCATTCTATGGTTTCAGCTTATTAGGAAGGATGAAGGGATCGTAATGACATTAAAAAAAATAGAACCCAACAAGAAATGTAGAAGAAAAAAATGTTGCTGCAGAACCAGAGAAAATTTGAATCTGGTATGAAGAAGGTTAAAAGACATTTTAGACTGGTGGGGTAATGTACTCTATATCATCTACTTCCATGGATGATGACTGGTGAATTCCTATAAGGGCAATGACAACCTGCCTTTCGTCCCATACAGGAGAAAAAGGATTTTCAGGATAGTCACATTAGAACAGTTTTATCATCTTCTCCAAGAGGCAGAGGAGAGAGGGTGTGGTTGGCTCCCTGCCAAGGCATTCATGAGTTCATATTTCGACGTTATGAGACTAAAGGGAATGAACGAATTTCCTGGGATAAAATGTGTGGAAAGATTCCACTGTCTTCTGTGATTACGTGTGATAATCAGTGCTGTCTTTAGGAGACATAGTCACTGTCCTTCTAGAGGCATGAAGACAAAGGAGGAAGCTGAAGGGCACAAGCATAGAGGTGGTAGAAGGATGATATCTGCTGCCAAGTTTAGCTGAGAACACAAGGAGGCTTTGGGAAATATGTAGGTGGCACAAAAGAGAATCTGCTTGTCTACAACATGGTTCTTGATAGTAGAAAGGGCGTCTTCTGCAAAGGGAGAAGTGGCTCTTTGAAGACTGGCAGCAATGCTTGGGGCCAAAAATACCAAGGCCAAGCAAACTATACTTAAACTTCAAGCCAAAAAGGCGCAAAAATCTAAATAATGCTTTCAAATCCAGCATTAGACTATATCATTAGGTATTATTTGGAGAATATTAAATTGTAAATAAGTTGGCCAGGATTTTGCAGAAGAAAACACAAGGAAGATGGGCAGGAAAGGACCAATGTGTTTGTCCTGTATCTTCATATATAACAATTATCAGAGTGAGAATAATACAATGGGCCAGGCGCGGTGGCTCACTTCTGTAATCCCAGCACTTTGGGAGGCTGAGGCAGGCGGATCACTTGAGGTCTGGAGTTTGAGGGCAGCCTGACCAACATGGAGAAACCCTGACTCAACTAAAAACACAAAATTAGCCAGGCATGGTGGTGCATGCCTGTAATCCCAGCTACTTGGGAGGCTGAGGCAGGAGAATCACTTGAACCCGGGAAGCGGAGGTTGTGGTGAGCCAAGATCGTGCCACTGCACTCCAGCCTGGGCAAGAAGAGGGAAACTCCATCTCAAAAAAAAAAAAAAGAATAATACAATGAATGTGTAACTTTAATACAAAAAGCTAAATAAGATCCTTGACATATACAGAGAGTCTTTGTCAGGTGTGGGCCTCATCCCTGGTAGTGCTTCCGAATCATATGTGATCCTTCCCGGTTTCCTTATTTCCAATCTGTTATAGACCAGGACTTTGGTACAATTCAAGAAGACTAAATTACTAGAAAAAGAATATAAAAATATATACAATATTGAATCCTCAGTTTTTATTATTAGATTTAACATACAGATTATTTTTGTCAATTGCTTTAAAAATTCCTACATGCTCACTCTCCATTTCTGCACTTATATTTCTGCAAACCAATCATAAACAGCTCACAGACATACACTGCTCTATGAGTAACATTTTAGATGGCCCCAAAAGAGTTTATCACAAGGATGTGGCTTTAGTACTCTAAATCCAGGAAGAATGGTTATGAACGGCCCCAATGAGGGCATATGCTAGAATACATGTACGTTAGGTTAAAAGGAGAGTAAAGTTAAAGTGGTATTGTTTCAGAAAAGGAATGACTACCATCCCCAGGCCTTCCTAATGCAAATTACAAAAGTAGTACAGAGGGATGTTAAATGATTGACAGGAAACTTTTCTCCTAAACATCTGCCAGAAGTCTGTTTCAAACGAAGACCCTCTGATAAGTTCTTGACCTACCTTCTGCCACTTGCATTCCTTTAGAAGGCTGAGAGATCAATTTGGAGAATTTTTACATGAATTTAATTTTGAACAAGGAGTGAGATTTGGTTAGTGAATTAAAAGTGATGAGCAACTTGGAAGGAAATGACATGTCATCTTAGAGTTTGTTATTTTCACAGGAAACTAATTCTGGACAGAGGCAGTTATCCTAGAGTTTAGGAAAACAGTCATCAAAATAGAGAAAATGGAGAGATGATTTCATGACTAAATAATTTTAAAGGGAAAATAAGACTATTTTTAAAATTCAGACAAAATAATCACAGATTATGCCAAAAAGATATAACATGAAAGGGACATTCTTTTCCTCTTTTTAAAGCTACTGAATGCAGACTATAAAAGAACATATATCCAAAATGGAAGGGTGAAAACATGATGGGTAACGAATATAAAAAAGTGCTGTAAGAATATTGTCAGGAGGGTTAAAGCTTGACTTTAGGCTGAAAAACTGCCAAGGACAACAGAAAGCTATTTTAAGCTCTGTTTGTGAAGAACAACAAAGGGATAGGTACATTGATTGGGGCACACAGCAAAATGTTAACAGATGTCACAGAGAAAACAGAACTATTCAACTCCTATTTTGATTCTATGGTCTCTATCAGGAAGAATGATCTTCAAACCCGAGAGGGCAGAGCAAGCAGAGTTAAGAGTGAACTGAGGCCCAAGATAAGTCAAGACATACTAAAGTATGACCTAGCTGCTTCAGATGAGTTCAAGGCTCCAGGCCAGACAAATTATATCTCAGGTTACTGAAAGAACTGAAAAAACGGTCCAGATGGGATTGTGGAAACCCTCCCAATAATTTTTTAGAATCACAGTCTAATTATGGTTGATCAGGGATTAGTGTGGGCTATAGAAAGAAAAGCTTTCGATTTTCAAAATCAAACAACTATCCAGAACATATCCCTAGCAAAATTCTGGATGGATTATCACAAGCATGGGTTGTTTGTGCTTAGAGAAAGAAGTGGCAATCACCTTAAGTGAGCAAAGGCCTACTCAGGATTACACCAATTTCTCTCTCCTTCCCACCTCTCCTAACCTCACTCCCTTACTTCATTTCTTTCTTTTTTTTCCTTTTGCTCCCTTTCTGTTTTATAGAATGACTAGCCAGATAGTTGGGAGAATGGCTCTGTTTCATCAAGATATTTAATACATTATTGCATAACATATTGGTGGACCAAAAAAAAAAGGCTTATGTAATTAGGGTGACTCAAACGTGGTTAAATAAATGTTCCCAGAGAACACCTGTTAATTAATTGGGGGCAATCGGGAGAGTTCCCTAGTGTTTTGTGCCCTTTCAACTTTATTTTACCCCCTTGTTCTTTTCTTTATTCTTTCTCTTTTTGTACATAGCTTTACTCTGGGACTTGCATATTCCAAGAGAGTATATGCTCTAGTGTTTTTCTCAGTTAGACTCCACAAATAAGTATCTGGTGCCCACTCTGTATGAATCAGATGGGCCCTGGCAATGTGAGCTGCATTAGATCCAATATTTTCCTTTAAGTAACTCATAGTTTAATGGGGGAAAACAAAGTAAATAACAGAGCAAGTCAACAGATACAATACAATGTAATAATGATAAAAAAAAGACATAAGCATTTGTTTGTGCCACGACGTTTTTTTTCCTAAGCATTATGCTAAGGGCTCTACATATTTCATCAAATCCTCTCAGAAACAGTATGAGATAACTTTAATTATCCCAGGGGTATTGGTGAAGAAGACCAGGGCTCCGAGAGAACAGTTAAGGCCCAGATCAAACCAGAAGTATGATAGGGAGCAAGAATTCAAAGTCAAGTCTGTTGTGTTCCCAAGTCTATGTGCTATCATACCCCTCTACAAAAGTAACTGAGTAAAGATGAGGGTAGGCCAGTGTCTAGCAGTGGGTGGGGTTCCCTGATTATCTGGAGATGGAATGCCATCCCAGGAACATTACCAGATAAAGTGAAGAAGCCTAGCTTGCCAAAAACATAGGTGCTAACTACTGAGGTTGTCAGAGCATTGAGAAACTTCAGGCAGAAAGACTGACCTGTGCAAAACTGAAGAGGCTTGAGAGGATGGCAGTGCATATGGCTGGGTTTGGCACATGTGCCAATGTCTAGAGGGCTTGGAAGGAGTCAGGTCAGAGCAAAACTTAAAGCCAAATGGAGAGGTAACAGCAGACACACATTCTCTCTCTCTCTCATACGCACACACAGTGTAGACATTTTATGAAGAATATGTATTATTAAAAATTATTAATAACAAAATGTGAAGTTCTAGTTCTTCAAGTTCCCTTGCTACTTAATTTTTCATATGTATTATTACCTGACTTATTTCTAACTTTCAATGTTCTCTTTCTCTCTACTTTAATTTTTCCTCTATACATTCAACAGATGTGTTTCATTTTATGGATGAAATGAATTTCTGTAAAGTTGTGTGATCTTTTTTTCAGTAAATGAAATATTACATTAAAGATACTAGGGAAGTTCCCTTTTAAAGGAACCTTATGCCAAATTGCTTTGTAAAGCAAATAATGACCCTATAACCAATCTTTCTCTAAATCTAGATTTCCATATATCAGGTTTGACTAAAAAAAGATACATCTGTACTTTATTTTTACATCTGTCTGCTAGCTGTACTGTAACATAATAGTATGCCAATTTGAAATACCATAATTTTTACACTTTTTCAGTTCTCACAATGCAATCTTACAAAATGTATTATTTTCCATATCATACTCATTGCTTTCTTTTCCTTAGGAGAACTTTAGACTTGTTTTTTCCCCGCTGAGGTTGCAGAGGTTGGCAGAAAGCTACACAGTCGTAGACATCCCATATAGAGCAATTGTAAGATGCTGTGTCTGGTGTGAAGTACTTCATATGCATTCTTGCATTTAATTTTTAAAACAGACTTCTGAGATATGAACAATTATCTTGACCATTTTACACGTTAGAAAACTGAGGCTCAGGCCGGGCGCAGTGGCTCACGCCTATAATCCTAGCACTTTGGCAGGCTGAGGTGGGCGGTTCACCTGAGGTTGGGAGTTCGAGACCAGCCTGACCCACACAGAGAAACCCCATCTCTACTAAAAATACAAAATTAGCTGAGCTTGGTGGTGCATGCCTATAATCCCAGCTACTTGGGAAGGCTGAGGCAGGAGAATAGCTTGAACCTGGGAGGTGGAGGTTGCGGTGAGCCGAGATCACACCATTGCACTCCAGCCTGGGCAACAAGAGTGAAACTCCAACTCAAAAAAAAAAAAAAAAAGAAAAAAGAAAACTGAGGCTCAGAGAAGTTGAGCTTCTACAGGTGTTCAAGCTGTACTCCAATTCACATCAGTCGACTTTAATTTTTTCCAGCTTTACTGAGGTATAATTGACAAATAAAAATGGTATACACTTAAGACACACAATATGATGTTTTGATATACGTGTACATTGTAAAATGATTACCACAAACAGGCTAATTAATATATTCATCACCTTGTATAGTTACTTTTGTTTGTGTGTGGTGAGAACATATACCCATGCACACACACATACATACACAAAACACATTTTCTTTATCTGTTCATCTGTCCATGGATACTTAGGTTTCCATACCTTGGCTATTTTGAGTAATGCTGCAGTGAACATGGGAGTCCAGATATCTCTTAGAGATGCTGATTTCATTTCCTTTGGATATAAACCCAGAAGTGAGATTGCTCGATCATACATAGAGTTGTGTTTCTTGTAAGGTCTGTATCAATTTACCTTCCTACCAACAGTGTGAAACTGTTTCCTTTACTCCATTTCCCCACCAACACTTGTTATCTTTTATCTTTTTGATCGTCACCATTCTAACAGGTATGAGATATCTCACTGTGGTATAGAGTTGCATTTTCCTGATGATGAGTGATGTTGGACATTTTTTATTTTGAGACGGAGTCTCGCTCTGTTGCCCAGGCTGGAGTGCAGTGGCATGATCTCGGCTAACTGCAACCTCTGCCTCCTGGGTTCAAGTGATTCTCCTGCCTCAGCCTCCTGAGTAGCTGAAACCACAGGCACGCACCACCATGACCAGCTAATTTTTGTATTTTTAGTAGAGATGGGGTTTCACCATGTTGGCCAGGATGGTCTCGATTCCTTGACCTCATGATCCACCCACCTCGGACTCCCAAAGTGCTGGGATTGCAGGCATGAGCCACCGCGCCTGGCCTGAACATTTTTTTATATATCTGTAGGCCATTTGTATTTGTATGTCTTCTTTTGAGAAATGTCTGTTCAGGTCCTTGGCCCATTTTTAAATTAGTGTATTTGTTTTCTTGCCACCGGGTTGAGTTTTTTAAATATTTTGGATATTGAGGCCTGGCATGGTGGCTCATGCCTGTATTCCCAGCACTGTGGGAGGCCAAGACAGGAGAACTGCTTGAGGCCAGGAGTTTGAGAACAGCCTGGGCAACACAGGGAGGCCCAATCTCCACAAAAAAATAAAAATAAATTAGCCAAGTGTGGTGGCATGCACCTGTAGCCCCCAGCTACTCGGAAGGCTGAGATGGGAGTATCATTTGAGCCCAGGAGTTCAAGATTGCAGTGAGATATTATGGCACCACTGCACTCCAGCCTGGGTAACAGAGCAAGACCATGTCTCTAAATACATGCATACATACAAACATATTTGAGACATTGGCCCCTTATCAGACGTATGGTTTACAAATAGCTTCTCTCCTTGTATCTTCACTCTGTTGATTATTTTTTACTTTTGCTGTGCTGAAAATTTTCAGTTTGATTCAATCCCACTTATCTACTTTTGCTTTCTTGTTTTTGGGGTCATATCCAAAAACTCATTGTCCAGACCAATGTCAAAAACTTTCTTCCCACGTTTTCTTCTAGAGGTTTTTAAGTTTCAGGTCTTATACTTAAGTCTGTCATCTACTTTGAGTTGATTTTTGTATATGGTGTTATACAAGGGTCTAATTTCATTCTACTGCATGTGGATATTCAGTTTTTCTAACACCGTTTATTAAAGTCTATCCTTTCCCCATCGTGTGCCCTTGTTGTCAGCCTAACTTTAGATCCAAACAGTAACTATTATTCTATGTACCCTCTTATTATTGATAGAATGAACATTAAGAAAAATTGTGTTCTCACAAAAAGTGACAAAACTTTTGGTGGAAGTTGGTGGTGAAAATAACATTTTCACGAGAGTCAAACTAGATTCTAATAATCTTTCTGCTATCAGTTGCCAGGACAAGACAGTTGCTCAGGCCTCAGGTTTTTCATCTGTAAAATGTAATGACTAAGGCCTCCTTTGACAAAAACACTAAAGTTCTAAGGTCCTGGTAAGATGATACAACGCACATACTGGATGCACTTTTAAAATTTAACGTATTTTTCTTACTAGAAAGTTAAGTCCAGATTAACAACATTTGTATCACAAGGAAACCCTTTCACTGGCTAACTAAAAATTCAACAATTTTAAAAGAGAAAATGGACAGAACAATTAATTCTGCCTTTGTGACTGCTATAGATCAGGCTGCTATAAATCCACAAATAGCATTGTTATAAAACCAAAGACTTTTTATTTTATCCATGAAAAAAATTAAGTAATACAGCTATAATCTAGGAATCTAGGATCTAAGAGGGCAGATTCAGATCTTTACTGATCTGGCCAGACCATTGGTTTTGAAAAAGCATGAAGAGTTTCCAAGGTGAAGTCCTGACCCCACCCTGTCCATTGACTAAGTCAGACACCACTCACAACATACACTTTGTCCCCAATACATCAGATCACAGGCCTTCTCAACTTTGTGAGAAAGAGCTTCCAATTACCTCTCTTTGGCCTCTTTTCTTTTATGATCAAGGTGACTTATAAACAGCTGCAATAAAAATGATTTTTTTCATAAGCGTCTTCTCAATAATGTCTGTGAAAAAGCAGAGAGGCTAAAAGATACGTGACATTCACAGATTTTGCCCCTGAAGCCACAAAATCCACACGAGCAATTTCTTCATTTGACCAAAATGAATGGTCATCACAAAAACAAATGTAACTTTGGTATCCCTGATTTGGCTGAGACAGCTTAAGGGCTCAAACTTAATAGACTTTTTCTGACCGATTGGGATCTCAGCGCGGGCTGCATCATCCTGTCAGGGCCGATAGCCAAGTCCAAACCACAGGCACAAAGCTGCCCTTGATCCATGACCTTAGCAGACAAAATAACAGGCTGCCGAATGTCATCAGACTCTCAAGGAAAGAACTTTGAATACATCATGCACTTTGCTTGGTGGTCTTTTACGGAAGACAATTAAGAATAGGTTGATGCTTAAATAAAATGCCTAAGAGTAAAAGCACATTTCTATATTCCAAAGGCCCGAGAAAAGCTGTGTCTAAGAAGGGATTAACTACTATCAGATGATATTACGACTGGATTAATGATGTTTCACATTCGCTATACTTATAAAAAAGAGAAGGGAAAAAAGAATAAAAATCTTTTAAGGAGCAGATAAGTGATTTCTATAAACCTTAAAAGCTAAAAGAAAACTCATTTTTAAAAAGACAGTGGTTATAATAGTGTATTTATTCTAAATCCTTAATTGGGGTTTTTTTTCCCTTAAAAACAGCCCTACATTTCAAGTAAATTTCTGTTAACATAGTCTGTGAAGTGTGAGAAGAGTGTGTGTGGTGTGTGTGTGTGTGTGTGTGTGTGTGAAAGAGACAGAGAGAGAGGGTGCAAGAGAGAGAGAGAAGAGAGGTGGTCTCTTGTCTCAATGTTTTATATTCTACCAGGTATTTTAAACCATTCTTATTTTAGACAATTGTTTTTGTAATACATATGCTAAAGGTGATCATTTTATTTTATTGCTAGACACTGCTGACTGAAACATTTCTTCAGATGAAAGTAATTACTATGACTATATTACTTTTCTAACCTGTTCTGTGTATTGTATCCAAGGTATTCATAGTATAAAATTCTGTTACCATGTTTAAAAAAAAGTCACATGATGCTGTGCTCTGACCTTACCTATATAAAGACGTACGATTATTACACTGGTTTTTTGTTTGCTTTTTGTTTTTTACTGAATGTATCTACATGCACAGAGGTTGCAGGAACACTCTAACTTTGGGTAGAAATGTAAAGGTAAGAAATATTGAATAATGCAATAGCCAACATCAGTATTATATGCAAGGAAATGAAACAAATCATTTTATGTCAATAATAATAAACAAAAGCAATCCATATAATATTCTAAAAAGGAAGAAATGACAGAAAAAAGGAAAGAAAGAGAAAAGCAAGAAAAGGAGAAAATAAGCAAAGAAGAAGGAACAGAGAGAGAGAGAAGAAAGAGGGAGAGATAAAGAGGAATCAACAAACCACAGCTGATATCAGTAAATTCCACTTCACCAATAAATTTTTGTCAGGCCTTCCGTATGACTAATATTTACATATTTGAAATCATGTGTTACCTGCCTATACTCTAGAATTCATTCATGCAGATAGAACTGCACTGTATTTTTATTTGGAAATATGATCTTTTATTTGGAAATATGATCCAATAAAAGAGCTTTTATTTGGAAATATGATCAAAGAAAAACATTACTAAAAAATAATGTGTTAGCTTTCTGTTTTCACCAACTATTTAATAATCTGGCAAATTCTATAGAAGGTTTCATGTCCTAAAGTTGCAACCAGACAGAATAGCATCATTAGATCCAGAAGCACAAACTACAGCAGCGGGGCATGTGAGGTAATGGTAGTTGAGTTTCAAAATTGAGAAGAGAGATCTTCCTTTTCCCTCGATTTTTCTTCACATACTAAAGTTTTCCTATCCTGCCACCTGCCACCCCATGATCCCACCCTGTGTCCATGAAGGTTTGTGTGTGTGTGTGTGTGTGTTTGACAAAGTCATCCAGTTCTCCATAGGGATTTGGTATTGATCCCAGAAGAAGGTAGGAGACAGCAAATGTCAGCTGACACGTTCAGAGAAAAGCCAGGCTTTCAAAGGCACATATCAGACATTTGTGGACCTGACCTGAACTTCTCTCATGACCTCCACTGGACCAGGTTCTCACTTTTCAGGAGACAGATAGAAGCTTACTACAAATTTTGTGGGGTGTGATAGCACCTGAGAGTAACAGTACGTTCTGATTTTTTCCTTTTTTTTTTTCCACTTTTTAATTTTACTTAATTGAAAGCACAGACGATGTTGTCCTGGGTCAAATTCCTCAAAAGGTCTGGCTTTTGGAGTCTTGCCAATGTTACTGCCAAGAATTCTAAGAGTTGTATTTGCTGCTGGAAAATAATGAAGATGTCAATCCACAAAGCAACTAATGGACACTCCAGTTCAGTCGTTCGAAAGTCCTCCGTGCTCCCAGGGTGTGCGCCATATCCCCAAAGTCCTAAAACCATGCTGGCAACTGATGCACATGCATGGAATACTCCTTCCGAACCCTCAGTCTTATACGAAACAATGTTTAGTAGGTGATTCTAGCACACCAGGCTCCAGCATTTTATGAAATCTGCTTGCTTCTACACCAAAACCATAAAAAGTGAACAACTTCACAATTGCTTCAATTTGTAAGAATTAAGACGCTAATTCACCTCAATCTAAAATAAGGCTTCTTCAAATCTGGTCACTCTCACTGCTACATAACTCCTGCTAGTTGCAGAGTTCTGCACAGCTGCAGCCAGAAATGTGTTTGTTTATGTTCTTATGAGCGATTGGAGTTTGAGGCTTGAAAGGGGGATCTGGGCAGAGTAAGCAGCAGTGAGGCTCTCTTTGAAGCTTCAGGAATAGACAGAGCCTGTGAAGGAGTGTGAAGAGACAGGAGCCAACGGCTCAGGTTGAACCCATGGCACATCCTCTCCAGGCAGGAAGAAGGAGGAGGGAGAAATGTGAAGCAGAAGTGGCAGCTTAGCAGGAGCACCTCATGTCTCAGAGGCTAAGGGTTGCCCTAAGGCTCCAGTATGGCAGTGCTGCAGACAGGTCAAAGGCATGGCCTGGAAAAGTGATCACTGGCCACTGGGACTAAGGCAAGGTCAGCTTCAGCAGCACGGCAGGCACAGAGCTGAGTGCAAGAAGGTTAGGGATAAAGTGAATGTGAGAGTACAGGAGTGATATATCACTCTTTGAGATGTTGGGAAGTGAAAAGAGAAGAGTAAATGTTCCCCAGAAGAGGCAGCAGGGTCAAGCAAGGGGCATGATTTAAAGTGCAAATTATTTGTACAGAAACACATTAAAAATCTATTTGTAGCCAGGATGGGCTTCACATAAAGTGAAAAATAGTTGCATAACTAAACATTAAATATTTTAAAACACTTATAAGTCATAAAGTATTATGACATGAATATGACGGGAAAATTTAGTGAAGCCAAGGATGCTGCTTTTGAAGTTTCTGTACTTCTCTCATTTATCCTTCCAAGGTCCTAGGAAGCTCTATTGTTATTTCTATTTTACGGATGAGGATAAACAATCTGCTCCGGGGTACAATTAGTTAGTGGTGGAGGTGGGGCTTGTGTCTTCTGATGCTTGCTGGTCCCCCTTTTTCCTTCTATAGAATTCTTCAGTAGAAGAAAGAATGACTGAAACTTACTTTTGTATCAGTAAGTTTTTGATCAAAACAGATGATGTTTTATGTAAACAGATTTTTCTATGAAAAAGCCCCAACTGTACATCTTAGCTTTATCTGAAGAGTGTTAAACTACCACCAGCAAGCTCAGAATTACTTCTCCTTATTCCAACTGCAAAATTTGTGCCATTCCCCTATCTATCCAACACAAACAAAAGCAGGAAAGAAAGAGTATACCTATTGCCTACTCCAATGTTTATCTTCTATGTGACATACATAAAGACAATTAATTTTCAAAGATATCAATCTTTCCTACACATCTTAAGATTGACATACACATTTCAGGTCTGCTAGAATAATTATATCAACTTTTTTTGTGCCAAAAACGTAAGATTTTTAAAAAGGATAATTAAGCAAGCTAATATAGCAATAAGTGGAATACACAATAAGAATATGCACTAAAATATCCGCTTTGTGCAATACAGAACTGGTGTTTCAGGAGATTAACAATTATGATTGCCAGTCCTCTTCTGATTCTATAATACTCCACACAATCTTTTTTAAATTACTTTATTAACCTTTCCTCCTAGCACAGAAGTGCCCGATTATAGATAATATTTCAAAATCATCTGAGGTGTAAGTGTGTTTGATTTGCTCCGTAATTATTTGTCTACTTTATTACATTGGCCAAGCACACAAGTTCCTTTGACCAGCTTTATTTCAAGTCCAGTTAAGAATAGGGTCATATCATTTTGTGGATCACTCCCTTTGGGCCCGATGTACATGAAATTTTCATATTGAAGACAGGGATGGTGCATAGCAACAGTACCTTTTAAACATGGAGAAATAATTTGCTGCCCTGTCATTAAAGGTTTAAGGCCCTGGACTTAATGGGTAGAATGTTGTTCACAAGTGAAAGGAAGGTGTTTATTCCTCGCATGACTGGGACACAGGGCATTTAAGTCTGAGCATGCAAATGTCTATTGATGAAGTCTAAAAGCATATCGCTCCCACCCCTCTGGTGGCCTTACCCAGGGTCTTTATAATCTGTCCCTCATCATGCATACTGCCCAGGACAACACTTCTATTTTAATCTGGATCATGAATGCATATCTGGCATGTATTTGGACTCACAGAGGATAGAAAGGAAGGGGGAGGGGAAAACCACAAGGGGAGATCACAGACCTTCTCCTTGTAACAGGGATCTGGAGAGAAGAAGTAACGTCTGAAAATCACACTGGGTTTTACGGAGGGAAAGTTTGCCTGTTCCAACTTTACAACTCAGGGGCAAATGAAACTGATACTTATGTGTTCTTAAAGATGAAAATGTAATGAGATGAAACAGGGTGCACTGCTGATTCTTTAGGGCCACCACCTGGATAAAAGCACAAAGCCGGAGGACTCTGTTTATTGTCCACAATCAACAAATCCTGAAATTTCCATATGTAGCAGGATTCCAGGGCTCTGTTAGTAATACAGGACATGGCTGGTCAGCTCAGTCACCCACGGAATTACAGTGTCGGGTATGGGTGCCAGTATTTAGACCCAAACCGAGCATAAAAAACACAAAGTAAAATTCAGTGTCAGCACAAAGTTGACAGCGAATGATTATAACAGCTTCGAAGCTTGAAAAAGAGTGTAAATAACTAGGATCCCCTGCGGGCTCACTCAGCCTGCATACATAACAACCGTGATGGACAGCCTCCGTGGTAAAGTCAGGGGAAACGAGGCACTGGAAAGATGCAAAAATTCTGCCAGCAAAGAGCCTTAACTGTCACCTTCCTGACTAAATCAGCTACTTTCATATAGGGAGAGAAACAGTAAAATAGGGACACCTTTGGAAGGCCAATTGCCCTTTGCCTAGGAAGCAGGAATGTTAATTATCGGCTCTTCTGTGGTTATCAAGGTGCTGCAAACACACCAGCGTTTGCACTTTGGGAACACTCCTCTCTCTGATCTTTAATCCTTGGCATTTTTAGTCCACAAAAGATTGTTATTTGGCACAACTCTGCTCATTTATAGAATGTAAAAATAAAGGCAAAAAAAAAAAAAAAAAAAAAAAAAAAGGTCTCCCATCCCCAACTGAACTGTTAACTTCATGTATTGCTTTAACTGGAAATTTAATTCTTTTCATTTTATACACATATGCACATAAACATGCACACATGCATACCTTCATCAGACAACGAGTGGTTTCAAACCCTGAAAAACAAGTGCATCATGGCATGCGGCCTTCAGCCTGGTATGACACATATCAGCTTTGTGAGTATAGAGCTTCATCGTCACTTGTACAGTACTTACAGACTCAAAGGAGAAAAGAAAGCAGCTGAGGTCTTTTGCAAACACCTAGCTAACACTCCACAGGTTTGTAATTCATTTACAAGATAATTAATCAATTAGCAAATGATCCCTTTCCCCTCTGTTATTTATGCTGAATAAGAATTGCATCTCCAAATGAAATGGCAGACCACTTGTATTGAAACTTTGCCCTTCAAACACATTGGTCTTATTTATCTGAATTGAGCAGATGCTTTGCAATGCCAGCCCATTGTAACTGAACTGTTTGCTATTAGAACCTGAGTAAGATTTAAGCTAAACAGAAGAGCATAAATATGACATCCTATAGACATTCAGGATGATCAACTGTGCTGTATCATCGCCAGCCATTGCTACTTATTCACATAGGAAAAGAGGGAGGAAATATACCTGACATTGCTAAAAGGGGAACTATAGTCCCTGGAAGGACAGGTGAAGATGGGGCTTACACAGTTATTGGCTCTAGAGTACAGCTCTGGGGTCTTAAAATGCAATTAAATTGCTATGATGTATATACCCTGTTTACAGGCTCAACAATTCTCACTTCTTTCAGAGCTCCATATCATACTTGGCACCTCTTTGGAAAAGCAGATATCAGGCAGCTTCTTCTTAGGGACCAGGGTGTTTATCAGATCGCCCAGATAACCATCACTGAGGAGAAGGTCTGACAAGGATGCAGATCCCATCAGATCACACTCCTATGTGGGACTGGTCAGAAGAAGACATGGGTGTATATACGCATCCCCTTTACATCTCTGCGCCTAGAATGACACCACCGTAAAATATGAAAGTTGAACGAGGTCATTTTTTGGTTCCTGGCACAGCTATCATACTAGGAATCTGTGCATTTTTCTATGTTAACAGCACTCTTAGGTGAGATAACAGAAAAATCTTTCACTCTAGGCAGGGGAGGGGTCTAAAATATTTCAGAAGCAAAGAGGAAGGTCCCTCGAATTATGCAAACATTTCACAGCCAAGTGAGCAGAGTCTGTTTCTGTTGCTGGGTTTTTTAGTCAACAATTATGTATTAAATTACGTCTTGTACACAGAACAACAAAGGCATTTTTGGTCCATTTTTACAGGTGAGAAAATGGGTCAGCTATGTAAGACTGAACCTCAGGTGTGCAGATGACAGAAAAATCCCATCACCTATTCCGTCCCTGGGGGACTTCTGGGATGGGCTCAGAACTTTGTGTAGTCACTTGCCAGGGCTTTAATAATAAAGCAGCTAAAAGGAAAACCTTTCCTGACCCTTTACTCTGCTGAGAAAGGACTTAAGGATAAAAAGCATTTGAATGTTTAAAAAAAAAAAACTGTGAAACTTAGTAAATGAGAAAATTAGAGAAAGATCATTATAATATGGATGAATACCCCTAAAAACAAACAAATTAATCCCAAACTTCACTATTCTCTTGTCTTTCTCAAAAACAAAACAAAACAAAAAACAAAAAAGAAAAAGAAAAAATGAAACAATGGCCAAATGTGTACAGAAGCAAACTCTACTTGTTAGCTATGCTGAGCAAAGCTGGATTTGTTCACGCACAGGAATAGAAAGCACAACAGTGAATCTTGGAGGCATTATTTCTTAGCAAAATTAGCATAACCCAGCACATCAGAGTATTAAAATTTAAAAAGGATTTCAAACTGTCCTAGTATCATCAGCAGAGTCATGTCACAGATTTTTTTTATTGGTTCAGCAGGCTAGGTGTAATTGTATCACTATTTTAATGCTTGATGCATATTGCCTGTGATACATTGCTTGCATAAATAAAAAGCACCAATATTCAATTGCCAATGAAATAATCACATACTCCAGATCTTTATTATATCATGCATTATTTAATTACAATAATCAGAGTCCTTTTGAAGGTAAAACAAGATTAAAAAGGTTTCGTTTTATTGGATCTATATATTTGATTTAAACTTTACATGTTAGCTTTACATTAAGAATTTATAAGGCATCAGTTCAAATGGTGCTATTATAAGAGTTTATTTCTTTTATAATTAGTACAGTACTCTCAAAGTACTCTGACTACGAGAGATAATATTTCAGTGTTTTAATGAGCTTTTTAAGTGTAATTGATGTAACAATCATTGAATTACACATTTTTACCTGAAGAATAATGAAGGAAGCATTTTAATGAGAAATTTAATCATTATTAGCAAATGATCTACTAAACTGCCATTTGCTGACATTTAAAAGCTTAATAGCAGAAAACTGTATTTTCCTACATCTGCATCAACATCGATGGCGATTACTTTTCTATTACTCTGATTTCCCAGGTTAACTTTCTACCGTCACTAATTTATTTATAAATTTAAGAAAACTTTCTTTAACCCACAGTTGTCAGCTCCTTCCAGAAATTGTGGGGCTTGACACTTAGAGGGATAATTTAAATAAATTAGCCCCTTTTCCAGCCTTCAGCAGTTTTCGGCATAAAAGGGCTCTTTCTTGTGAGTATTCATGCTTGCATCAGCTTGATTTTGATGAATGCCCTGCGAATTCCCTGATAGTACCTCAGACAGAGAGATCTTAGACTGATGTCAACAAGGGTTTTTAAAGCTCCCTCATTTCAAGAACACATCAGCATTCAGAGGCTGATAGACATGAGTAAGAGAGCCTACTATGCAGCTTTTGTCAGCTTCTGGGGTTGGGTTTTGCTGCTGGGTTTAGAGGAATCTCTGTGCCATGGGAAGAGAGAGTAGAACGGAGACATCATAGTGAAGTTCATAACAACATGTTTTGGGGGTATAAAAAGAACCACAAGATAATACTAGGTAGGCAGGATTTACATAACTCATTGTAGATGTGGAGAGTAATGAGACAAGCTCAGCCTTCTGACTGAGCATTGGACAATGCAACGTTGAAGTCAGTACGCAGGCTGGCATAGGCATGATACCTGGGGCAAGGACTAACACATAGGACCTTGCCTGCATTTTCCATGATCTGGCCATAAGGGATAGTCATTTACAGAGCTCCTTAGATGGAGTGCCAATCCACAGTGTGCTTTGTATGGTGTGAATTGTCAATCTAGAGGACAGAAAGAAGTTTAGATAGAAACACATTATTATGTATCCAACACACAGTGAGATCTTTTTGTTTTTTAAGTTTGAGTTTTGATTTAGAGTCATGGTGTGAGTAGGCAGGAGTGAGGAAAGAGAAAATGCCAGCATGTGACTCACACCCGCCTGCTGATGGTACCCTAAAGTCCTTGTCAGTCCAGAGATGCTGGGTTTGGCCCAGGTGCCAACTTCTTCCATCACAGAATTCTCACAGCCCTTTATTTTTTCCTCTCTCTTAAAGACTTTGCCCTTTTTCACTTTGCATGCTCTCAAAAAGATTTTCAGAATTAAAAAAAATCATTTTTTATGTTCCTCATTACTGTGGGAGCCTGACTCTGTGGCTGCCTCTCCACAGCATATTGCCAACAGCGTGGTAGAGACTCCAGCCCTGACAGTTTGTGCTGGGCACCATGCCTGGGTATGCAATGTCCAGTCTTCCTACTGCATGCAAATAAGCAGATAATGATAAAATTAGTAAATGACCTGCAAGGCATTCGAGTATTCAAGGAAACATTGATAAAACATCTTTCAAGCGAAGGACAGAGCTGAGAAGTAATAGCTCACTTGGTTTTTGTGGGTTTTTCTGGGCAATAGTGATGCGGCATATGATTGTTGATATTGTTTATTATGGAGGATGCAATTGCCAAAACTCAAAAGAACAAAGCTGACATAATGTATTGGACTATATTTCAAAGTTTATTCATAAATCACTTCTGATCCTATACTGAAAAGCAAAATAACAAGACAGCACTAATAAAGTGGATCTGTTTTTCTTATTACATGATAGTTACCTATTAAAATGGTTCATGTGTCATATCCAAAAAGGATATAGAGGATGGCACTGAGATTTATTTGCAAATCTTTGGGTATCATTTATTTATAAACGCAACATATACGTATAGAGATACAATGTATTTTTTTTTATCAATTTTGAATTATAATTTAGATTTAAATAAGCATTTTTCCCCAGAACCCCGATATTGGAGGAAAATAAAAACACAACATCAAGAAACACATAAGGGTATATCTGGCTGAAAATATAGAGTATTTTCAGAGAAGTTGGGTCAAGGTTATCCATCAGAAATGATTAACAAATTAATATTAGAATGATATTATTCTGTTGTGGTAGTACAATATAGCTAGGTACCCTGAATTGGTGGTGAGCCACCAATTTTTTTATAATCATTATGCAGCTTTGATTGTTACAACTGAATTATAGTGATACCTGTCCAACAGACAATTTTAAGCTAGTCTCAGAATAAGAAGAGAAGTACAACTTTCTCCAAGATGGATAAAAAAATAAACAGATTATTATTGTTATTGTTATTATATGCAGCACTAAGCCTATGCAAAATAAAAATGGAGTGTCTTCTAAAACATGGAAGAACTTTGTCTCCTGAGAGCGTAATGAAACGAGCCCAGGACAACACGTAGCCCTACTCACACAGCCACACAGTGACAAAGGCAACCACATGAGTTGTATGATGGTTGTGGATGCAAATTTAATTCCTTCAAGGGTGACTCCAAATATTCTGGTATTCAGAAGTGTGCCATTAATGCAAAAAGGGCATATAGATGAAAACAGGAGAAAATTAGAACAAAAATTATTTCAAATGAAAGGTACTATTCGAACAAAAGCATCAGTATTCTTGTAAATATGTAATGATTCTCTTTTTTGTTAATCACCTGAGTTTTTTTGCAGTATACTGGAATATCAAAGACTTTAACTCATCCTGTTAGCAAACCAGGTATAAACAAATGCTACTTTAAAAAATGCACTTCTGAAAGAATCCATCTAAAGGTTGAGGGAGTGTAAGATGAAAACCACTGAGAAGGTTAACAATGCCCCCTCAGGGCAGCGTCCTGTTGCTGCCAACAAAGATGGTCAGGGACAAGTTCTCCCAACAGCTGCTAGGGCCTGATCCCAATTCAAGAGATGCTACCAATCACATAAAAGCTTGTATGGAAGATCAGAGAGCACATTCAATGAAGGGAGTTTCCCCTTCTTTTGCTATCATTCAAGGAATGGTTTTTTTCACCAAAGAATATAAAAGCCCACCCATGCAATCCCAGGTAAATATGAGTCCAATTAAGGCTTTGGATCTACTTCATTGGTGCAACATTCCAGGTTTGATAAAACAATTGAAACACAGACATATACAACTATTTACTTCACACACACACACACACACACACACCCCTTAAATGCATGTGAATTTACTTCTTTTATAGGTAAAAGAACCATGACTCAGATTTTCCTGCCTCCTTACTTTTCTTATTCTCTTTACTGTTCCCTAATTTCTTTCTGGTGAAATTTGCTATCTCTCATTCTTTGCCCCTCCTTGTAGCCTTACCTCACCCTGGCTTCATGTGGCCTTGTGTCAGCTCATCATTCCATTATCTGGAGTGAAGAGATCAGAAGCAATGTGATGCTATGGGATTGCCTAAAAACAAAATTACTTTCAATTTTATTTCTATCCAGGAGTCATTCTAGGAAATCAAGTAAGCACGTAAAAAATCAAAATTCTTTCCTAGATTTGGCAAACCTCAAAGTTCTGAGAGAACACCCCAATGCCATCCAGTCCTATATCTGGGAAAGTACAGACATCTCTAAGGACTTGCTCAGCAGGCCCTCCTACCTATAGGCTGTACCATTTCATTGCCACCAGAAATTCATTGTTAGTTACTCATTCCCAAGAGAATGCCAGGTAAAGATGTTTGTTTGAACAGTAACAGAAGTTTCAGTTGAGCAAAAAATATGTTCACCTGAGAATTCAGACATATTTAGGTATGTTTGAAAGGCTGGTGGTGCAAGTTTCTTTCTGGTATATTTATATGAAGAATCGGGGTCCTCCCAGGGAAAAATTGACCTATGGAATAGACAGTAAAAGCAGAGATGCACCCAGGCATGGTGGCTCAGGCCTGTAATCCCAGCACTTTGGGAGGCCAAGGTGTCCAGATCACCTGAGGTCAGGAGTTTGAGACAAGACTGGCCAACATGATGAAACCCCGTCTCTACTAAAAATACAAAAAAAAAAAAAAATTAGCCTGGCATGGTGGCAGGTGCTTGTAGTCCCAGCTACTTGGGAGGCTGAGGCAGAAGAATTGCTTGAACCTGGGAGGCGGAGGTTGCAGTGAGCCGAGATCGCGTCATTGCACTCCAGCCTGGATGATGGAGTGAGACTCTGTCTCAAAAAAAAGAAAGAAAGAAAAGAAAAAAAAGCAGAGATGCATGAGAGCATAATGGAGTGAGCCCAGGAAAACAAATTGCTCTACTCACACAGCCACATTGTGATAAAGGCAACCACGTGAGTCGTATGATGGTTGTGGATGCAAATTTAATTCCTTCAAAGGGGCATCGAAATATGCTGCTGTTCAAAAGTGTGCCATTAATGCAAATAAGGGCAAATAGATGAAAACAGGAATAAGAACAATAATTAGTTCAAATGAAAGGTGAGCTATATCAAAGAAGAGGGTCCTCTTTTAAGGAGCCCTTCTAGACCCCAGTATTACACGGCTATTTACACAGATAGCCTCCAGTCATATGGGTATTTTTTGTAGTTCTGTGAATAAATTCTACTTTCTCCTAAGTGTTTTCCATAGATTAGCTCAAAAGTTAAATCCTTTGAATCCTGGGGTGGTATGACTGCAACAGGAGAGTCAGCAAAAGCAAAGAAAAATTTCATAAAACTTCAATGATTTATTCAGAGTCCAAGAAGTCAGCAGCAGTGGCAACAATAATAGCCAACGTTCTCGACCCAGATAACAACCAGACTCCCCTTTGGCAGAAGGCATGAAGAATCTTAGCCCAGCTATGAGTTGGCATCAACTGTTCAGGGGATGCCCTCAAGAGGTAAGGTACTCTCGGTATACGTAGTTGTACCCTAGACATGGGGAGAATGGACGCATTTGTCAATGGGCAGGAGAAGTGCCATCTTTACAGGTACCATGGAATAGTCACCCTTTTGTAGTGGCAAGAGACATAATAATGGGGAAAAGGAGCAGGAGAAAGGAAAATGAAGACATGCTCATCTCCTTCAAAAACGACTAGTTCAAGAAGCATAAAGTTAGCTGCTCCCTAGAAATTCCTAGCACCAGACATGTAAGGAAGCCTGAGAAGATCATAAAGCCCTCAGGAAAGCAATCCAGGAAAACAGCCTTCAGTGTTTCTTTCTGTAGTTTTGATCTTCCTCTGGACAGTGAAGGCCTGGGAGTCCTGAGTTACATTATCCTGGAAAAGTCGCATGCTTGGAAATATGTAGAAACATGACTCCCATAGCCCTGAAGTGAAAACATTCATTATGAACTAAAAAAAGTACTTTTATTTCTTTTATCAAACCTGACATCCATTTCAATGTTAACAACCTAAAGCCTTTCGAAACATGGTATGAGGACTCTATACTGTCTTTTGTAATTGTTTAAACTTTTATTAAAAATGTTTGGTCCTAGGCTCTGCAGATCAGTCACACAAAAGTGAGCAACACATCTGAATGGCAAATGATCCTGTGAAATGTCAGGCCCAGGAATAATTTTGGAGCTACAGTTGATTAAAAAATCGACAAAAATAAGTACTGCATAAAAGCAGAAAAACTTCTCATCCAGTTCTCAAAATTTTCTACACAATTTTTGAAGGCTCAGATTTAGTTTTTTTCCTTTATCTTTTAGTGCAAAGCCATGGGTCTCCTAAGAATCTATGTCTATTTTTATGGTGTGACTTTTTATTACAGGCACCTACCATGGAGGTTGTCCAAATACAGCTTTAGACCTAAGTGCTACAGAATGTAGCTGGGATTGCCGGGTGGGTTAATACTATCAGGACAGGCTCCTTAGAAGCTTGTCTTGAATACCCCATTTCTGCTAGAGGCCATCAGTTGATTCTTCCTAGCAAATACAGTGAGGTCACTGAGGTAGAAAAAGCTTCTGGTCCATCAGAATTCATCGAAACAGAAAATTCAAACTTTAGGTTCTGGGTCTTTGTTTCCACCAAGAAGCCCTTAAGTGAGCAACAAGAATGTTAACTTGACATTACTTCCAACCAAGAGGGAGTAAAAGTGACCACATTTAACTTCTGCCTGAAAAAATAAAAACCAGATCATTACAATGGTTTTCAAGACACTAGATAGCAGGCAACAAAGGACAGTAGTCCCTAAGGGATGTGAAACAAGTGAGGTGAACCCTACAATTGCCATAAAATATACTTTGAGAGTTTCTAGGCTGCGGTACAGGGATGAGGAACCCAGGCGGAGCACAGCCCAATCATTAGTTGAAGAGACCGAGCTGAGAGTATAGGGAGACAAAGGCAGCTGACAGTTCACAAGACAGTGCCAGAGAGAAGAGGGCTGCCCAGAGAAGGGACTTTGGAAATCTGCAGAGGCCCTCAGAGTACTTAAGCGGAGTAGTTATTAGCACAGGCCTGTGATGAAACTGCCTGAGGCCAGGGAAAGAAGTATCCAAAAGGATTAGAGAAAACAGTGCCAGGAGGCCAAAGAGGGCTGAGAAGAGTGTTCCTACTGGCAAGGAAACGTCATAATTCACAGGGCATTGTGAAGGGTACACAGGAGTTTCTTGCCTTACTAGTGGGAAACACCTAGCGCTAGACCAAACACTGCTCTGGACTCAGTTCAAAACCTTAAAAGTAAGACCCTCCAAAATTAAACCTACAGGTAACTTAGTTGTGTCCCAAACAAAAGACAAAAATATTTATATAAATGCAAAAATAATCAGCACCCAACAGGGTAAAATCACAGTTCCGAGATTACTAGACATGTAAAGAATCAAGAAGAGAAAAGGAAAAAGAAAAGAAAAAAGAAAAGACAACCAAAACCTTAAGGAGCAGAAAAATCAGTAATTAAAACCAACCCAAAATAGGCACAGATGTTACTGTCAGAAGATGAGGCCATTAGAACAATTGTTATAACTCCGTTCTATATATTCAAAAAGCTAAGAAAAGACATAAAGGATAAAAAAGATCAAAATCAAACTTCCAGAGAACTAACCAGGATGGGATTAACAGCATTATTAGTCACTGTAGAAGAAAAGATTAGTGAATTTGAAAACAGCAATAAAAACCATCCAAAATAAAAGAGCAGGCTGAGTGTAGGGGCTCATACTTACAATCCCAACACTTTGGGAGGCCAAGGTGGGAGGATTACTTGAGACCAAGAGTTTAAAAGCAGGCTGGGCAATGCAGTGAGACACCATCTCTACAAAAATAGAAATAAAAAATTAGCCAGTCATGGTGGAGCACACCTAGTCCTAGCTACACAGGAGGCTGAGGCAAGAAGATTGCTCGAGCCCAGGAGTTCCAGACAGCAATGAGCTATGATCACATCACTCTAATCCAGCCTGGGTGACAAAGTGAAACCCTCCCTATCTGTAAACAAAACAAAACAAAAACAAAAACAAAAGCAAAAGCAAAAAAATAAAAAGAACAAAACAATAATTTTAAAAAACATCAGTGAGCTGAGGGACAGACAGCTTAATGTTGCCTAATATACATGTAATTGGGATCCTATAAGGAGAGGATGGAAGTGGAGAAAAAATTTGAAGAAATTATGCCTAAAATGTTTTCAAATTTGATGAAAACTATAAACTCCAAATTCAAGAATCTCAATGAGCTCAAGTACAGGAAACATAAAGAAAAACTACCCCCAATTGATCAAACCTGGTGAAAAAACAAAGTTCTAAAAGTAGCCAAAGAAAGAGCCACAAGACACACAGAGGAAGACAGGTAAGAGTTACAGCATATTGCTCTTCAGAAACAGTGCAAAGGAGAAGCCAGTGGAGCAACACCTTTAAAGTACTGATAGAAAAAAAAAAAAAGTAACTATTAAACTAGAATTCCATACCAGGGAACATATTTTTCAAATGTAAAGATGAAATGAAAATTGGTTTCAGATGTATAAAATCCAATCCATATGATTGGATCATGAAGACAGATTTCCCTTTTGGTGTTATTTTCCTCATAGTGAGTGAGTTATCACAAGATGTAGTTGTTTAAAAGTGTGTAGCACTTCCCACCTCTCTCTCTTCCTCTTGCCCTGGCCATGTGAAGATGTGCCTGCTTCCCCCTCTCCTTCTGCCATGATTGGAATTTCCCTGAGGCCTCCCCAGCCATTCTTCCTGTACAGCCTGTGGAACTGTTAGCCAATTAAACTTCTTTTCTTTATAAATTACCCAGTATCAGGTATTTTTATAGCAGTGTGAAAATGAACACAAATAATACAAATAACCACCCAGAAAAGTTAAAAAAAAAAAAGAGTTAGAAAAAAGAAACAAATAGAAAACAGAAAGATAATAGACTTAGCTTTTTCCACACATGTCAACAATCATATTAAATAAAAATGGTTTAAACACTTTGTGTTAGTCCAATCTCACACTGCTATGAAGAAATGCCTGAGACTTGGTAATTTATAAAGGAAAGAGGTTTAATTGACTCACAGTTCCACATGGCTGGGGAAGCCTCAGAAAACTT
Source organism: Homo sapiens (assembly GCF_000001405.40). Taxonomy (NCBI): domain Eukaryota; kingdom Metazoa; phylum Chordata; class Mammalia; order Primates; family Hominidae; genus Homo; species Homo sapiens. The sequence goes on along the minus strand of NC_000002.12, from coordinate 58,943,919 downwards.
ACAATCATGGCAGAAGGGAAGCAGACACATCCTTCTTCATGTGGTGGCAGGAGAGAGAGAAGTAGAGAGGGAAGGGGAGAAAGACCTTATAAAACCACCAGATGTCATGAAACCTTACTATCATGAGAATAGCATGAGGAAACTGGTCCCATGATCTAATCACCTCCCATGAGGTACTGCCCCCAACATGTGGGGATTACAATTCAGATTACAATTCAAGATGAGATTTTTGGTAGGGACACAGCCAAATCATATCATTCCACCAATGGCCTCTCCCAAATCTCAGGTTCTCACATTTCAAAACACAATCATGCCTTTCCCACAGTCCCTCAAAGTCTTAACTCATTCTGAAATTAACCCCAAAGTCCAAATCCAAAGTCTCATTTGGACAAGGCAAGTCCATTCTTCCTATGAGTGTGTGAAACCAAAAGCAAGTTAGCTACTTCCTAGATACAATGAAGGTACAGGCATTGAGTAAATACACCCACTTAAAATGGGAGACATTGGCCAAAACAAAGGTGCTACAGGACCAATGCAAGTCCAAAATCCAGCAGGACAGTCATTAAGCCTCAAAGTTACAAAATGATCTTCTTTGACTCCATGTCCCACATTCAGGTCATGCTGATGCAAAAGTGGGCTCCCATGGCCTTGGGCAGCTCTGCCTCTGGGGCTTTGCAGGGTACAATCACCCTCCCAGCTGCTTTCATAGGCTGGCATTGAGTGTCTGTGGCTTTTCCAGGCACATGGTGCAAGCTGTCAGTGGATCTACCATTCTGGGGTGTGGAGGATGGTGGCCCTTTTCTCACAGCTCCACTAGGCAGTACCCCAGTGGGGATTCTGTGTGGGGCTCTGACCCCACATTTCCCTTCCCCACTGCCCTAACAGAGGTTCTCTATGAGGGCTCTGCCCCTGTAGCAAACTTCTGCCTGGATATCCAGGTGTTTCCATACATCCTCTGAAATCTAGGCGGAGGTTCCAAACCTCAGTTCTTGACTTCTGTTCACCCACAGGCCCAACACCATATGTAAGCCACTTAGGCTTGGGGCACCCTCTGTAACAATAGTCTGAGCTATACATTAGCTTCTTTTAGCCACAGCTGGAATGCAAGGCACCAAGTCCCAAGACTGCACAAAGCAGCAAGGCAGTGGACTCAGCCCATGAAACCATTTTTTCCTGTTAGGCCTCTGGGCTTCTGATGGGAGGGGCTGCTGTGAAGCCCTCTGACATGCCCCGGAGACATTTTCCCCATTGTATTGGCAATTAACATTTGGCTCCTCGGTACTTATGCAAATTTCTGCAGCCAGCTTCAGTTTCTCCTCGGAAAATGGGTTTTTCTTTTCTACTACATTGTCAGGCTGCAAATTTTCCAAACTTTTATGTTCTTTTGCCTCTTGAATGCTTTGGTGCTTAGAAATTTCTTCTGCCAGATACCCTAAATCATCTCTCTTAAGTTCAAAGTTCCACAGATCTCTACGGCAGGGGTAAAATGCTGCCAGCCTCTTTGCTAAAGTATAGCAAGAGTTACCTTTGCTCCAGTTCCCAAGAAGTTCCTCAGCTCTGTCTGAGCCTGGACTTTATTGTTCGTATCACTATCAGCATTTTGGTCAAAGCCATTCAACAAGTCTGTAGGAAGTTCCAAACTTTCCCACATCTTCCTGTCTTCTTCTGAGCCCTCCAAACTGTTCCAACCTATGTCTGTTACCCAGTTCCAAAGTTGCTTCCACATTTTCGGGTATCTTTACAGCAGTGCCCGACTCTCTGAAGTACCAGCTTACTCTATTAGTATGTTTTCACACTGCCATGAAGAAAATACCTAAGACTGGGTAATTTATAAAGGAAAGATTTTTAATTGACTCAGAGTTCCACATGGTTGTGGAGGCCTCAGGAAACTTACAATCATGGCAAGATGGAAAGCAGACACATCCTTCTTCACATGGTGGCAGGAGAGAGAAGTGCAGAGTGAAGTGGGGAAAAGCCCCTTATAAAATCATCAGATTTTGTGAGAACTCCACACACTATGATGAAAACAGCAATGGGGGAACCACCCCCATGATCTAATCACCTTCCATGAGGCCCCTCCCCCCAACATGTGGGGATTACAATTCAGATTACAATTCAAGATGATATTTTGGGTGGGGACACAGCCAAACCATATCACACTCCAATTAACAGGCAAAAATTCTCAAAAAATGATTAAAAAAAGAATGGCCTATATACCATTTACAAGAAGCACATTTTATACATAAAGAAACAAATACTTTAAAAGTATAGAAAAAGATGTTCCATTCTAATGATAACCAAAAGAAAGCTGGAGTGACTATATTAATATCAGACAAAGTAGACACCAAGGCAAAGACTATGAGCAGATGAGCAGTGGAAAAGAAGGTAATTTCATAATGATAAAAGGATTGGTACATAAAAATTCTAAATGTGTATATATTTAATAAAATAATTTCAAAATACATGAAACGAAACTGAGAGTTACATGGAGAAATAGAAAAATTCATAAATTTAATCTAGAAATCTAATATCTCTTTCTTAATAATTGATAGAACAAAAAACCAGTTAGGACATAGAGATTTTACAATGGTATCAACCAAATTAACTTAAGTAATACATATATATAGAACACTCCATCCTACAACCATTAGAAAATACATTCTGTCTTGAGCCCTGGAGGTTGAAGCTGCAGTGGGTTGTGATCACCCAACTGTACTTCAGCCTGGGTGACAGAGCAAGACCCTATCTCAAAAAACTCTACTTTTCAAATGCACTACAAACACCAAGATAGGCTAACTTCTGAGCCATAAAAATATGTCTCCATAAATTTAAAAGAATTTAAGTCTTAAAAAATATGTTTTCTAACTTCAAAGGAAGTTAAATAGGAAATCAAAAGAAATGAATTTCCCAAATATTTAGAAATTTTAACACATTTCTAATAAACCATAGGTTAAAGAAGAAATCAAAAGGGAAAGTAGAAAGTAATTTGAACAGAATGGAAATGAAAACACAGTGTATCAAAATTTGTGAATTCCAGTAAAGCAGTACTGGTGGTTGGGGAGGGAATTTACAACAGAAAATGCCTATATAAGAGAAGAAGAAAGGTCTTAAATTAATAAACTCAGCTTTTACCATAAGAAACAAAAGCAGCAGCCACACACAAAAAAAGGTAATTTAAAGTGAAGAGAAGAAAGGAAATAATAACTATCAGAGAAGAAATCAGTGAAATAGAAAATAGAAAAATGATTTTAAAAAATTAATAAAACCAGAAGCAGCTTCTTTGAAAAAAATCAATAAAATTGGTAAACTTACAGCCAGATTAATTAGTGAAAAGGGAGAGGAGATATAGATTACCAAATTCAGGCAATACAGAGGTGACATCATTACGATTTTCAGGATATTTAAAGGATAAGGGAATACTATATACAACCTTATGTCAATAAATTCAACATCTTAGATGAAATGAAAGAATTCCTTGAAGAAACAAACTACCAACACTCACTCAAGAAGAAATAAATAATCTGAGTAGCCCTATTACATATTTTTATTTATTTTAAAGTTTAAAACTTTCCCAGAAAGAAAACTCTAAAATCTAATGACTTTACTGGTGAATTCTTCCAAACATATAAGAAAATAATAATAGTGCCAATTTCACAGAAATTATTTTATAAAATCAGAGAAGAAGGGATAATTCCCACCTCATTCTATGAAACCAGCATTAGTCTGAAAGCAAAATCAAAAATAGGCATTACAAAAAAACTACTTATCAAATCCTTCATGGACATAGATGTAAGCATTTTCAAAAACATTTTAGAAAATACAATTTTGGCATGAACAGATTTTGCTTGATAAACCAAATATATCAAAGTTAATGAGACCACAGAGAGTGGGGGGCTATATCATGTTGTCCACTCCTTCAGTAAAAAGTTTCCTATTTTCACAGAGCCGAAAAAGCAGATGTTCTCCTTATTCACTAACTTGACTGGTATTTGAAGGTACAGAGTATTGTTCAGATAACAAATTCTGGAGTCACAGATGCCTGGGATTGAATTTTAGCTCCATCTCTTACTAGCTTTCTAACTTGGGAACATTACTTATCTTCCCTGTGCTTCAATTTTATCAGCCATAAAATAGAGATGAGAATATCTCTTTCCCATAGGCTTGTTACAAGGATTAAACAAGTTAATACTTGTAAAATGTTTAGAACAACTGAATGGCTGGGATATAGTAGGTGCTCACTTAGTCTGAGAGGGAGCAGCTGTGGAAGGAGGAGTAATCATATCATGCAAAGAGCCATGAAGGAGATCCCTGAACTCAGCACTAAAGAATGTGCTTGGTAAACACATCAGGGAGACAGCAAGGAAATGAACATACCACATAAAGTGACCAGCATAAACAAGCACTTAGCAGCTATAAAGGTTATTGGTGTTTTCCAGAAACTGAGTAAGCTAATAAGTATTAAGTATAGAATACATTTTTTTGGAATGTGGGGAAGGGGGAGTATGAGGAAAGGGCAAACCTACAGGAGGCATAAAAGCTGGAAACTGAGAACAGATAACGCAGAGCCTTGTGTGCCATGATAAAGCAGTGCAAGTTTATCCTAGTCAATGGAGGAAACCATCAAAGAATTCAACACAAGAATGTGTCATAGCCAGATCTGTATTTTTAAAGATAATTTTGGTAAAACTAAGGAAAATAGATCCAAAAGAAGGAAGCTAAAGGCCAGGGGACTGGCTAAGAACTGGTGACTGTATTTGTTTACCTACTGCTGCTATAACAAACTCCCACAAATTTTGTGACTTAAGACAGCACAAATTTATTAGCTTTCAGTTCTGCAGGCTAGAAGTCTGACACAGGTCTCACTAGGCTCAAACCAAGGTGTTGGCAGGGCTGCCTTTCTTCTGGAGGCTGTTGGGAGAATCCATTTCCTTGTCGTTTATTTATGGCCACTTTCTCCATCTTTAAAGCCAGCAACACTGGGTCAAGTCCTACTTAAATCAAATCATTCTCACTCCTCTTCTGTCCCCCTCTTCTACTCTTAAAGATCCCTGTCATTAAATTGGACCCACTGCCATAATCCATGATAATCTCCCTAAAGTCAGTTGATTAGCAACATTAAACCCATCTGCAATCTTAATTCCCCTTTGACATGTAATGTAACATATTCATAGGCTCTGGAGACTAGGACCTGGACACCTTTGGGGGGTCATTATTCTTACCTCAGAGGCTATTACAAAATCTCAGCTAAGAGATAATAAGGGCCTGAATCAAGGTGGTGACAGTAGAAATAAACAGGAAGGGATATACAAGAGAGTGCTTTTAGATGCTTAATTAAAGAGTATCAGCCGGGTGCAACGGCTCATGCCTGTAATCCCAGCACTTGGGGAGGTCAGGAAAGAAGATTACTTGAATCCAGAAATTTGAGGTGGCAGTGAGCTATGATCATGCCACTGCACTATAGCCTGGGTGACAGAGCAAGACCCTGTCTCAAACACAAATAATAAAAATATAGAAGAATATAGTGATTCATTTGGATGGCTTTAGAGTGTATAAAAAACATGAGGAAGAATAGGAAATTAAGGATGTCTCCTACTTAAATTTGAACAGTTTGATGAAATATGATGCCACTAACTTATGAGATGAGTGTCTAATATGTAAATATAAAGTTCTCTTAGAATATTGTGGGTGAGATGCCCAAAAGGTTGTTGGAAATTCAGTCTGAAGCTCAGGAAAGCAGTGATGCTGATAACTAAGATTTGAGTATTGTCAAGTAATTTAATGTCTCCAACAGAGTAGTTTGCTGTAAGTTACCAAGCACATTAAAGACAAACACACACATGCCCACTGAATATTTAGCAGTTCTTGTTGGTGCTAGCTAATATTTAACATGAGAAAATAAGACATATCCAAATAATAAAACGTAAATGATCAATCATATCTGAAGCTGATCTTCACTGGTAGCTCATAAGTAGAGCAAAGACAAGTCTAATGGTGAACCCCTACAGAGGTGGCATCCCCAAGCCCAAGGAATGTGGAAATTGTAATAATGATACGTTCTGCCCTAAACAAAAATGGGACACTGGATGCAGCTCTTGACTTTCTAGCCCCATGTTTGCATGTGCTATAGTTTGAATATGCTATGGTTTTGTGTCCCTCCAAAATCGATGTTGAAACTTAATCCTCAATGCAACAGTATTAAGAGGTGAGGACTTTAGGAGGTGATTAGGTCATGAGGCTCCTCCCTCGTGAATGGGATTAAGGGCTTTATTAAAGAGGCTTCACAGAGTATTTGGTCCCTTTTTACCCCTCTGTTCTACCATATGAGGATGCAGTGTTCAAGGTGCCATCTTGGAAGCAGACAGCAGCCCTTGCCAGAAACCGAACTTGCCAGAATCTTGGATCTTGGACTTCCCCGACCCCAGAACTGTGAGAAAATAAATATTTCTCTTCTTTATAAAATACCCAGCCTTAGGGTATTTTATAGCAGCACAAATGGACAAAGACATGTTTTGTCTCTCACAGGAACACCTATGGAAATATATATTTATCCCACTAGAAATCAGGTTTCTATTTAAAATTTAGGGGGGATCTCCCCACTTGTGAGAAGCTCCAACTATATATCTGTATCTATATCAATCTTAAACAGGCATTTTTTAGTTCACTAGTGCTGAAAACCCAAGTGGTATCATGATGTTAATATGCCTACAAAAGATGGTAATTTAAAAATATTTTCTTATAGAAAAGACAAGACCTGAGGTATTATACAGGTCTATTAATTCCCAGCAATGCAAATGATGCACAGTCCAAACCAGGAGTAATAAAATGCTCTGCAACAAAAAAACTGAGAATTCCATATATATGCCTAGGGGGAGGGTAGGTGGGAAGGCAGGGTGGAAATGTCCATTTAAATATAGAACCTTGATTAATTTTCTTCTATAGAGGAACCATAATAACCAAAAACAAGCTCACGGATGTAGTGGTGGTGACATATGAGTTGGAACATGTGGCGTGTACAAAGGTGAGTAACAAAAGTGAAGCAAACGAGCAAAAATATATCAAACAAAAGTGAAGCAAACGAGCAAAAATATATCAAAAGTGACTAAAATGATGTGTTTTCATTGTTAAGAGATGTAGTGAAATTCTCATCTGGTGAATTCCAGTTCAGCATTTCCTTGATATATCTTTTATAATTTTCACTCTAATTATAATGAAAATCATTTTTCAATGTAATTTTGCAATAAAAATGTTTCTTTATTTCTCATTACATAAGAACATGATCTTGTACACTTACTGAGCAGGCTTACAATGTGCACACTGTATCTTCTCTTTCTTACCATTTAATCTCTTCATAGTCTACAGATGTCAAGAGGTTCAGATTAAGCTTGTTAAAGATCTGCTTCACTCGAACTCACTGATGATTATTTATTTAGCAGTTTTATGTAACCCTGTCATTGATAAGCACTCTATTAATTTGCCGAGGGACAAATCAACACTAGTTATTTTTCTACCGGCTATTAGACTCGGTGCTGCTGTTTGTTACAAACCACTTGCCAGTTAATTATAAATTATGGGTCCTCTTTGCCTATATTAATTGATATCTCCTTTGCCTTTGTAGTACTAGACAAATAAATTGAAGGCAAGATTTATTAGGCAGTGTATGTCTTGTGTCTCTTGATTAGTATTCTTTACTTTTTTAACATTTATACTTGTTTATACAGATTTGACAGACCAAAACATTAGAGAAATGATCTTTAGGGTGTTTTGTAGCGAAAAAAGAAAGAGAGAGAGAGGAGAGATAGAAAGAGATTTAATAGGCTTCCTACAAATTTATTTCAAATGACCTACAATTCATTGTAAGCAATTCCTAAAATGCCTTTTGACTTTGTGCTATGGACTGGTGACGGCAGCCTCCCAATTATGCAAAATCTAATATTCAAGTGGTTTTAAAGTCTGTGCATCCAGTTGCTATATGATAAATAAATATGATATGTATATAACAAAACCTATATCACATTACACAAGCAAAAGCTAAATGTCTTTTCTTTGCCTTATTGCTTATTTGCATCTAATTACATGTTCTTTTGCATACATACAGAGCCCTTTTTTCCTTTTGTCATTTAAACAATCTGTAGATGTAACACATAGTGACAAAACAATAAACTATAGCCATTTTAAATTTTCAGAAGCATAAGTTACAGATGGCACTTGCCATAGGACATGAACCTTTCCATTTGCAGTCCACAGAGAAGCAGGAATCAGAATTTAGGCCAGGTAGAAATAAAAAATATATTTTACAAAAGAAAGTCTTAATTCATTTGCTCCCTGGACAGTATCAAACATTGAAGAATTGCAAATTTAATGGGAAGGTTTACCCCAGAGGGTCATTGTACTATATTCCGATTTCAAAGGGCGTCAGGACCTAGCTATCTGCCAAAAGATCTGGGTCTCTGAAATCCTAATTTTGTACATAATTTCTCCATTTAATTGACAGTTTTGACCCAAGTTGCTTTTTCAGTATCTTGGATTCTGAGTAATTCCCCATCTGACATAAATCCAGCAAATGGACAGCAAGCCCATTGGAGTAGGCTGGATGTTTTTCCGTTAGTTCTAATGGGAAAAGAAAAACATACTGGTCAAGCATATCTATTCCTATTTTCAATTCACATATAATTGAATCTCTTCTCCAGCATTTTCATGTTTGAAGATTTAAAGACTCTCCAATTAGAATTTAGAGAAAGCCTTTAGAGTAAAATTAGTTAGCTCATTCAGAAAACATGCACTCTGCTAATGTGCTGGGAAACTGACCTTGAGCCACTTTTTAATAACGAGATTCCAAGGATCATCTTTTCCTATGTACTATGCTACCTTTTGTTGGCTGTTTCTGGGCACACCTCCCAATGGATGTCATGAGCGACAGAATTTCCTGATAGCCTTGATTCATTTGATTATTCAGAAAACATGCTACTAATCATCCTTCACCAATTTGTTATATTATCTGTAGATCTTCCACCTTACTCTTTCTACCATTTACTGTTTCACCACTTAAAACCTCTGTCCCCCATGGCTAAATAACATCGGAGGGAAGTAAGATTTAAGTTATTATTTACAACTCAAAACTAATGTGATTAGCAGGGGATTGGAGTTGACTCTAACCTCTCAAATACATCATTTTTGATTATTCACATTTTAGAAATTCACACTGCATTTGAACCCAATTACATAGTTAATCTGCTGCTTGCTAAATTACACTGTACATTTTTTAATGCCTCATACTATTTTACCCTAACCCAGTGGCTTTCAAATGGGGACAGTTTTACTCCCCAGGGAACATTTGGCAATATCCCCAGACGTTTGTCATGTTACAAATGGGGGAGGGGAATGAACTGCTACTGGCAGCTAGTGAGTAGAGGATGGAGATAATACTAAACACCCTACAATGCACAGGACAGCCCTCCAATAACAAAGAATTATGGGTCCCAAATATCTATCGTGATGGTCTCAGAAATCTTGCTATAACCCCTCAAAATAAACACTAACTTTCTTCCTTGAAGTGGCATCAGTAAGTAGAACAAGAACTCTGGGGCAGAAAAATTAGAAACCTAATCATGACTACGGTTTCTAGTATTTGGTGATCCACAGAGGTTGTCATATCTGTTCATTAATATAGAGGCTAACTTGAACTGCTCAGACAAAATGTGTACACTTGGGGACTGAAATGAACCTTCTGTGAATCTTGCTATGTGTTACCTCATGAAAACATTATTAGAAATGCACTCAAGCAATGTAATTCAATTCTATTCAACTCAAGATTGAATTAGGACTTCTGGGTTGGTCAATGCAGGGAAAACTATGAGTTGGATATGTCACTGAGGGAACTTGCTCATGGGGCAATAGGCAGAAGAGGAAGCACGTGTGGTTAAAAGGACAACAAGTAGATTTTAGTGTACCTGCGACAATAAGAAGATTTACTAACCTGAGATTATGAGTCTTTTTATTCAACAATTGTTTACTGACATCCAGTGGGTATATATAATATTTGTCTTCCAACTGCTATCTTACTATCACTAAAGTATTTTTAATATATAATTACAAACAATGATATATATGTAATATATGTAAATCCACATATTCAATATTAAACATAATTTCTCATTTTTAAATATAAATAGATGCTCTATTATTGTCAAATATCACATAATGTCATCATATTATGGAATATGAAATTTCCATACCTTCAATGTGCATACCTCACTTTGGAAACTGCTGCACAAGGAGATATGAATTTAATTCTTAATTAAATTTGCACATCCACCACTAGATGATACTCTTCTTGAGAACAGCAATGTTATCTTTGTTTCCTTTTTCTTTATATTGCTAGCGCTCAGAACAAAATGGGAACTTAAAACATGTTTTGTTTAATGAACAAATGTTGGCCTATAATGAGCTGATGATCCAGTAAGAGGGAATACAATAAGTGCATATATAACTATGCTACATGGCAGAATTATAATGTAGTGGCTTTAAACAAAAAAGCAAATTTGCCTCTCTCATAAATTTTCTGGAGATCCACACCAAAGCTTGGCCAAGGACCCCACAAATATTCCTTTTATTAATATTTCTCATTCTTAGGTGGTCCTTGGGTTATGACATTTCTTCTTGCATAAGAGTGCTGAATTAAGCTTTATAAGGCCCCATTAAGCTGCTTCCATATTACATATAAAGCTAATGTGGGACCCTACTGTATTTCTAGATCCCTTCAGGATTGAGATGAAACCAGCCAACATCATCCAATTAGGAACCACTTCAAACCCTCTCCCTCCAAAATGAGTTTAATTCTCTATTTAAGACAGGTAAAGTTCTTCGTCTTTTTTCCTCTTAAACTAACACTTCCCAGTCAGTCTGTAACTATGATTAACATATCACGTGATAAACTTATACTGCCAACATTTTGACCACCATTTTAGCACTTTATTTGGGAAAATCTCTGTGTGTCCTTTGGCACTGTTTTGCCTGCTGGAGTTTATAAACAAGCAGACAAGGCTAGAAGGTGAGTATGATCTCACTTTAGATGAGCAGGGAATTTTCTGCACGGTAATAAAATAGTCCTCACCACCCCACCCCTGCAACAGAATAATTTTAATGACTTATACATTGGTTTAATCCTCAAATGTTTTTGTAATATGTAATCTCCACACACAATGTTAATATTAAAGGGAATTTGAGTAATACTTGAATAATTAGTCTTGTATTAACTGAAAATGAGTTAATGGAATAACCCTTTACTAATGCAGGCATTAGCTTTTTCACCTTGGAGGACCAAGCTCATTCTATGCCACATTCCCTTGTTGACTTAGTTTTGTAATATTCATTGAGCACCTATCTATGTTCATTCAGTTGAGATCTCTTAAATTCTGCCATTCGTGGTGAAAATCACTTCCTAAAGGTATCTGAACCCACAAGTATTGTCCAGCCAAGGCGATTTCAGATAAACTCTCTCTCTTATGGATAGTTTGCTGAATAGGTCTATCTACAATAGAACTGTCAAATTGCCTCACCAAAAATTAACTGGGCAAGATCTGGTTATTTATTTCACACACATTTACATGAATTAAATGCATATCATATAACACATGGCACATAACGACCCTTATAGCGGAGATATTATTATCTCTGCCTTAAATGTGAGGAAATTAAGAAATGAGAGGTTAAACATCTTACCATAGTAGGTCACACGATACACGAAGTAGCAGGTATTCTAAGAAGCAGAATCTGCATTTATTTAGAGGTAAGCATAACACTAAATTTATTATTACATAAAAAATCAGTCCACTTTAAAAGCCACTGTACATCTGATGGGACTTTGGGGTTTGATTGCAGAATTCTCTGCAATAGGGTTGTTTGGGATGTAATTAACATGACAAACAAGGGAAAGACACAAGTTTAGCAAAAAGCTCACTTTGAGTGGATAAATTTCTCTTTTTCCTTTTTTTAAACGAGAAAGGCTGGATAAAAGGCAGATGAAATAACTGCTGACTGAGTGGAGCTCTTGAGCTAAGGACTTGTACTGTGAAAATTCTACTTTGTCTAGCAAACACTATCAAACAGAAACCTTGAAAAGAGAACATTTATGTTTCTCATTTTCTTAAAAAAAAAATCAGCTCTAACCTCATGACTTCCCTGACAACGCTAAAAGTCATAGGTGGTAGGAGGAATATAGAAGCTAGAAGCAAGGCTTCTACTCCTTGAACAGTCTCTCATTCCCAGCATCTTAGTTTAGCTATGGAGGCTGAGTGAATGCACAGACAACACAAACTGAGGTGTCTTTAGGCAGTCCGTTCAGATGAGTAACTCAGATCCTCTGCACAAGCCCCTCCCAGGGTAAAAGTCAGGAATTTCAGGTGGCAGTCCCCCAAAACAAAGGCAGATAGAACAGGTGACTATATACAAAGACCATGATTTTTCAATCACAGCCACATCTAAACGAAAAAGTCAAATACAGTGATTGGTATTAATATGATTTGAACAGAATCGTCATTCCAATTGCTCCAAAGGTGCTGTGGTTTAGTGGTGGAGTTTTGTGGTGGGCTTTGGAGTACAACCGAACATTCTTCAAATGCTAACTCTGCAATCTACTGCCATATACATTATTTTACCTCTCAGAGTGACTGCTTTTCTTCTTGTAAAATAAATGTAATTCTTATCTCTTGGATTTGAGAGGATTTAATGAGACTACACAGTAACACATTACTTGGCATATAGTGGATGATGAAAAAATGTGAATTTTATTATTGTGTTAAAAATGTGAATTTTCAGATCCTCCAATAAGTAGATGCCAAGATGAGATTCAATGTGCAAGAAATTTATTAGAGGATATGCCTGTGAAAGAAAATGAGGAGGAGGGCAGGAGAGGCTGGTGGAGCTTTCAGGCCATGATGCAAGTCCGACCCTAGGTGAAGGAGAGAAAGAGGGAAGGGTGGAGGAACCCTAAATTGCCATGCATTTCTAAGGAAAGTCTGTCAAGGCCATCAAGCAGTCCTAGAGCCAAATTCGCCCATCGGAGGATCCTGCATCTCCAGAAATAGGCCTGCCTCAACAAAGATGCCAGGCTTATTCACAGGCTGGGAGCAGCCCGTGGGAAGCATAGACTTGCACTGTGATGAATTTCCAAGGCAGCAGCTGAAACCCTGGGTCACTCTTGTTCCTTGCAGTCAGAGAGGCATGTTCTTGTGGTCACCACCAGTATTATTCAATGCAGATTCTTTGGCAAACCATGTGTTATTGCTTCTGAAAAGGCAAAAGAGGGCAGAGAGAGAGAGTGCATGCGCATACGAGCACAATAGTACACATAGATTAGGAATACAAAGATACAGTCTGGGCATCTTTTAGGTTATATATTTGTTTTAAAAATGGAAATGAAGTCATATGGATGCAAAAGGATTCCATATGAAATTCTAAGATGATTCTTGTGATTAAAAGCAAGTTATAAAAATACACAACTTTTAAAAACTACTTTTAATAAATCTTTTCCTATTTAGAGCTGACATTCATGAACAATTGATCATAGGTTTCCTTAAAATTTACTATTTTTCTTTTCTTCTTCTTTTTCTTTCAGTATACACAATTAAGAGGTTTTTGGCTTCTTTTTGGTCTTGTACTTGTTAGAGAATCCGAGGAAAACCACTGACCTTCTTCGTCTCTAAAATGTACATATATCCATACACATTAAAGGGTACAATTCCAAAGAGTTTATGGGCCCTTTAAGGCCCATCAAAGAAACAGTGCTTACATTTATAAAGCTATTAACCTACATGATTTTAAACTATTTTATAATTTTTGGACTACATACTTCTGTGGATTAAGATAAACAACCAGTTATTGCTATCGAGACCTCTGGGTTTTTAAATTCACAATCTCAGTGCACACTAAGGCCTCATTCATCCAAGCTAACCTGAATGGGGAGAGTCTATGTGGCTGCACATTTAAATACATAAATAAAATGCGTATTTGTGTGAGAAGTTTCTTCTTATTCCTTCTCTTCTGCATATGATATGTCCAGTTTGGGACAGAGGTGCACATGCTTAAGTCAATCTGATTATGCATTAGGTCCTTACTTTTAACATTTTTAAATTGACCAGTTGTAGGTGTAGCCCTGTGAGTGTCTGTTACCTCACATTTGGCTTTCTCTTCCTTAGTGAATGTGTATGTTTTAGGCTCTCTTCTCCTCTTAGTAGATGGGCATGTTCCCTCTTGCTTTTCGTAGCTCATCAATGTATCAACCTTTCCAAGTGAAACGATAAATTAGAGAGACAAACTGTGAAAAAAAAGGGACAGCTCTCATAAAAATGTGGTCACATGCTGAATTCACTTGAGCCTGTATTCTCAGGCAGAAGCTATGTGAAATACAACGTTCATCACATAACTGGTGCTGGACCCACACAATACCTGTGCGCAATGGGGTGAATTCATTATGTCTCAGGAAACTGACTCTTTCTCTAGCAATGGATGTCTTCAATTACTCAGTCTCCAAAGTGCCTGCCCAGCCTCGCAGTCTTAACTCTCTATTTCCTTTCTTTTGGGGGTTGCAGCCAACACTTCAACCTGGCAGATTTTTCTCTAGTTTAAAGAACATGGTAAATGACAGAGGTCTGGAATAATGTATTTCCTCCAAAGCTGGTGACCAATTAGTTGCTTGCCATGGACTGTCATTTCACTGCTCTGAGTGCTGTGTTCTTGTAGCTTGGTGATAGACACACTGTTTATTTTCCACTTTGCAGTCTTTGCCAGTACTCCAAGTCCCACACAGCTGCCTTGATGCTGCTCTCCTGGATAGCTCATGACAAGGAAAAGATAACATGTATGTGTGGCAAAATGGCAACCCTGAGCAAACTTATCTAGGGTGCAAAGCAAAGAGAATAGTGATTTTACCACCTCACCTTTTTATTTTAATGCTTTTCAATGAAATCGTGGGAAATGCCAAGTCCATGAGGTTAATGCTCAGACATAAGTACAGTGGCTAAAGACTTTGTGACGGTTATTAAGCTGTTGACAGTATGAGAATCAGACACATTCACCACTGGTTCAGTAATTGTCTTTCATCTAGGAGCAACTTCCCTTCTCCCCCCACCCAACTTTTATGATTCATCATATTTATTTTTTGTTTCCTCAAGCAACATCTTTTATTAGTTGCACACTCACTGCAGAAATTTAATTTCTGCAAGAGAACAACAAAGCAGTTGATTATTATTATTGAGAATCTGGTACAACATCGAGTGAAATAAAATCTATAAGGCATTAAAATGACAGATTAGGCGAGAGCTGTATTCATTTACAAGTGTTAGAACATCATGCTAATGCCTCACAAGCACAACATAAAATGAAAATCAACTCTTTCATGCTGCTTTACGAACAAACGCTGCGAAGCTCCCAGGAACACAAGCCAGAGCCTCCGTTAAAGAGGCAATGTCCTTTTGTAGTTTGCTCATAAGTTCATCCTTGACAAACACAAATAAAAACACTCCTCTCTTATGCACAGCCAGAAGTGCTCCCTGCTTATCCCTTGGTCATCCCAAACTAAACACTGCTAATCCCAGTAAGATTTAAAGCATTCATATGCACCTCATTGTTTTTTAATGGAGAGTAACACTTCACTTATTAGGCAACTTCTATTCTTTATATCCTACCTGGAAACCAAAGAGAAAGTGGAAAAAAGGGGCCTGAGAATCAGCAATTCAGGGTTATTATTCCACAACATCAAGCCCCCATAATTTATATGTACTCTAATCATTCAGGGCCTATTAACTCTTACTTCACACGAAATACTAATGCTTTTATATCGTGAGCTGCAGCTCAATGCAGATAAGAAGCAAATTATGAGAATGCTAGAGATCATCAGGCTAAAACCTCTAAACACTAGACTGGCTATTCCGGTAAGAAAAGAGCCGCAAAAATACAATGGACAGAATGTCTCAAAGAATCTTCAAGGTGTTCAGAGAACAGAGCAAATAAATTCTGTTTATAGTATTAACACAAGCCTTCCAAAAAGGACTAAATGAGTTCCATATTCTC
Source organism: Homo sapiens (assembly GCF_000001405.40). Lineage (NCBI taxonomy): Eukaryota > Metazoa > Chordata > Mammalia > Primates > Hominidae > Homo > Homo sapiens. Next base: position 58,927,854 of record NC_000002.12, on the reverse strand, counting down.
TTTCTTTCCTGAAAGAGAAGTATGTAAAACAGTTCAAAGGAAAGTCCATCAAAATTGTTAAAATACTTAAAAGGTAAGTTTTTAAGTAAGGAAGACAAAATTTTACATATGCAGATCAATTGATTTTCCAATAATATTGAATAAAAATGGATTGCTCATATATTTTCTATATATGCATATATATATGTATATTTGGGAATACATCTAATGTGCTTTACTATGTATTATTGATTATATGTGTAATTATTCATAGGCTAAACAAATAACATAATCTACTTGTGAACTTTTAAAGATTCATCTCAGATTCATTTACTATTTAATTCTCAGAAAGCAACTTCAGATGTCAGAGAATTTTATCCTGGAAAAGAGAATATCAAAAAGTTTCACTTCTGGGGTTCTACCATGGGTGGCAATTAAATAATGAGAATCATTGAAGTGACCCTATAAAATATCTCCTCCTAAGACAGTAGACAGAAGTGGCTAACACAGTAGAGGGTATGCAAACTCTCATCAACAATATGTCAAATATCAATTTGCATGCTACACCCATTCCTCAGGTGGTGCCAATGAGATATGCTGACATCTGTGTGTCACACATAACTCCTAGAGCAGGGGTCCCCAATCCTCAGGCTGCAGACTGGTACCTGTCCATGGCCTGTTAGGAACTGGGCCGCACAGCCAGAGGTGAGTGGCAGGCGAGCCAGAATTACTGTGAGCTCTGCCACCTGTCAGATCAGCAGTGGCATTAAATTCTCATAGGAGCATGAACCCCTATTGTGAACTGCACATGTGAAGAATCTAGGTTGTGTGATCCTTATGATAATCTAACTAATGCCTAATGACATGAGGTAGAACAGTTTCATTCCAAAACCATCCTACCACTCCCTCATCTCTGGTCCATGAAAAAATTGCCTTCCATGAAACTGGTCCCTGGTGCCAAAAGGGTTGGGGATTGCTGTCCTAGAGCATATATGACATTTCCATCCACTCTGTTTCTCTTCAAGAAAGCATGCAGGAATATTAACAAATGGGAATAAAAATTTGACTTGCTACAATTTATTAAAAACCGAGAAAAATAAGTCATGGGAGAATCGTGCTATATTTGTTATCCATAACAAATTTCTAATGACACAGCTTGGGTATTGAGGTGGGGGAGGGCTGATAGGGAGGAAGGAGAATGTGGGTGGAGCAGGAGGTCTTCCACTCCTAGCTGTGTCCGCTTGAGCAACATAGTTTCACTTCTAAGGACTATAGGATGGGTAATGAAGGAACTGTGATAGAGTTCCTGCCTTAGACGTCTCACAAAGTGTTGTGAAAGTTAATTGCAATCATATGATGTAGGAAAGGTACCGTAAAAACATAAGATGGTATTCACGTCAAATACAGGACCCTGATTTTCCATAGTCGTTGTATCAAAATTTCTTCTCTTACAGGCTTGTAATTTCCAGAATTCCAACAAACCCCTCTCACTTTGAAGATAAGTATGAAATCGTTTACGCCTTGTACCATACATAAGTGTCCTTGGAATTAATGATGCAATCTACCCTACATGATGAGGCAAAGAATGAACTGGCAAATAATCATTGAATCATGGATTTTACAGCCAGAATACAAGTCTGACAGACATGAGCTAAAATGAAATGAGTGAAAATGTGAAGGAACATCAATATGGGTGGTACAAAGGGATCTCAGGCATATGGTTGCACCTAAGTTGTAATAAAGAAGCAACCATCCCCTGAGGTGGGAGGAAAAAAAAAAGAAAGAAAGTGAAAACACATGAATTTGAGTTCTGGCCTTGTCCCCACTGACTGGCTTCTAATTTCTTGAACTTCATCCAGGCTGTGTGTCCAACAGACCACATGGTGATTGCTAAATTGCTCAATGACCACAAGCTACAACCATGGGGAAAATATTCATGAAAATTAACATCCCATTTAATACTCACCATGCTTCCAGCCAACACTTTGTGCAGGAGAAAGTCCTCGAACTGGCTCCAAAACTTTTCAATTCCTGACAAATGCACTGGCCCCTCTCCAAGGAGCTGGGCAGCAATCTGTGCTTTATGCTGGTGTGTGGTGGTGGCAATACCACTGGTGGGAGAGCCAGGAGGCGGAGGCGTTCTTCTCAAGTAAGAAAGATCTGAAGACCAGTGGCCTTGGGGACGCACCCAGGCACCAAGAACTCCAACTCACGGCACCAAGAACTCCACGGTAGGGGGCAGGTTCTTAACTGCTTTCAATTTTCCTAAAATGAAGGGCATATAATAAAGCCTGGATATATGAAATAGTAACAAATGTTTGATTAATTTTATTCGTATTAGAAATGAACATTTACATTGACATTGATTTTTAGAGTATTATTTTAGAAGATTATGGCATCTTTGGAAGCAAATCTTCTAAAATATGAATCCTTCAGGACTTTCTTTAAAACAAAAATGACCACACTAATAAAATTAGTCTTGTCTTCTTTGTATGAGCTTGCCCATACATTCTTATTTGTTGGACTTTCCTACATCCCTCATATCACATATACTTTAATCGTAACTCTATGCCATTAACTTCAAAAAACCATCCTTATCCTATTAAATATACATTGGGGGGACAATACTTGTTAGTGCGGTCACTGCACGTCTACTCTTCCTCCCACACACACATCCTTTTCTTAACTACACTAAGAAAATATAATTATTTGCATTCTTCAAATATTCTCAAAATTCCTTTACATACACATTCTCAGGAAAAAAGTTGGGTTTCAGGGAAGGCTGAACACAGTCAAGATTCATTTGAGTCAAGACCTGATTTTCTTCAGGCTGTGTTATTTTCTCTGAAGTACTAGGTTTGCACAAATGATTGTTTCCAACGGCACAACCATCAGATAAAGTGTGGGGTGGTGTCTTCCAGCTCTTCTCATTCTCTCGGGCGTTGTCTGGAGCTTTGCACATACAATATATTCATCCTACATACTGGACAATCATGATGATGGCCCAACGTGTGCTGTAAATCTCACCTATGCAGGCAAAATCATGTCTGTATTTGGAAACAGAAAAATCTAACTAATTTCAAAGGTGGAGTATTCCAGCTGCCACTTTTCTTTCCCCTTACAAAAGAAAATACAGGATGACAACTGTATGAAGATGCAACTGGAAGCAGGAGAACTTTGTTTCACTCTTGCCTCTGAAATTAGCAATGTGACTAAGACTGGCGACGTCATATCCTCACTGGCACTCACCTGTAAAGAAGTATTTAGAGTTGATAATTTCGAAGGTCCCTTTCATCACTTAATTCCAAGCTTAAGATAATCTTTTCACCATCTGAAAGACAAAAACATCTCCAGAATATCCAGGTCCCTCCACCACATTTGGAACACTGGCCAAGAAAATACTATGGCTTTGTTCCCATGAGACCAATGTTGAATGTATCTAGATGTTGAAAATCAAAACATTTAGTTGATTGATTGACTGAGTTTTCTACTTTAACTTTTTTTTTTTAATGTTGGTGTTATTTAGACCAGCTCTGAGAACATTGCCAAGAGTTTCTTAGTCTCTTTCAGATCCTTGTACCCCCTTTCTTAAAGGTGTTTAGAAAATAAGGGCTCTCTTAGTGGCCTCTGTGAAGTCTCATGGTAACGGCAAGCCTAAGTGTAAGAGGTCCTTCAGGAGCCCACAAACAGCCTGCTTTCATTAAAGTGTGGTTCTCCATCACCATGCACTGATGACTCACCAGGCCTTCTACCAGCAGAGCACCATTTTTAAAGGAGGCACATAAAAGAACCATGCTGTTCAAGTAAGCACACCTAAAACATTCTAAGTATGTAAGATAACCAACAAAGAGCATTCTGAATCATAGTCCAAACATCATCCTTTAAAAGCACCATAAAATCAACTATCCACTCCCACAACTAGCTGTCACAGACATGATCCCAGTGCTTGATAGACTTTAGAAAAATTGACTCATTTGATGATCTCCAGGCTAGGATATGTTGTAAGAAATTTCCAGTGAGAAACAAAGGAGGGATAAATAGGCAATAAGTTGTTGAAGATGTTCTGATGAAGCTAGCTTATTAAGTGAATATAAGAGGCTGTTCCAGGAATATAAATAATTAAATCAAAGATAAGATTAGCTATAGTAAAAAAAAAATGCTTGATTCTGTGGAACCTCTATTTCTCTTTACTTGGCTTTAATGGACTGGTGAATTTGTCCATTATTGACCTATAGCCATGGGCTCACTTGCTTAGATTACATATAAAGACAGCCTTTTATCACACGGGAATTGGAGTAGATATCTATATATCACTGGTGGGACAGGTGGTGATAAAAAAAGAATGGTTAAGAACTTGTGCTCTAGAAACAAAAAGGCTCAAATTGCAATCTTTTCTCCCTCTTTTTAACTCTGTAACTTTGTACAAGCTATGAAACTCATGGTGCCTCAGTTTCTTCACCTGTAAAATGGGCTAACAATTTCTATGACACATTGCTTGATAAAGCTTTAATGATATATGTTAGACATGGTACTTTGCACTTAGAAAATGTTTAATATGTAGCAGACATTTAAATTATCACTATTTAGAAGGTTAAATGTATAGTTGCCTTACAGATTAGTTAAGGTACTGGGGATGGTATATTTGTATGTGAATTACAACCAAATCCAGTCTCATTCTGGATGGAAAGAAGTGACTTAGGCTCATGTCCATGTGGCATTTGTATCACAGGGTAGCTGAGGACAGAGAAAAAACCAACCAGAGGCCCAGCACATTGATTGACAGACTAGCCCTCAGCCCCTAAAGAGTAATGGCTTCAAGGATTCCCCAAACATGGTTTCTGGAGTCCAAAAATATTCCCAAAACATTAAACAAGTATGTGGAAGGAGTAGAGAAAGGCGAGGAGAGAAAGGAGTCAGCTACTAGCTGACTCCTAGAATGCGATCAACCCTAATCAGACTAGTAGTACAAAAAAAGAGTCAGTATGAGGGGCAAGATGTGATGTACAAAATGAGATGATGGGAGCACCCTGTGCTTTCCAGAAAAGCTCCGGAAATCATTTCAGTGGTAGATGGTTGACGGTTGAAGATAACCAGTGAGTTAGTCTTCTTAGTTATACAAATTAGAGGCCTGTGCAAAGTATGAAATGAGAAAAAGTGGTCTTAAGTCACTCTGCAGAATAACTTTACAGGAATTTTCAGTTTTCCTCTGGTAGGCTTGGAGGACTGGAGTAAGGCTGGAGATTTGAGGGGAGAACAGATGCTTGTAAAAAGGTTACAGCAGGAAGAACAAGCCCCAGTTTAATGGTCAGGGACTGAGTCCCAGGGAGGATACACCCTGCAATGAGGATATTCAAGGAACTGTAAGAGCAGTGACGCCACATGGTCAATTTAAAGATGTTTTCTCTTCTGTGCTGTAATCCCTCTCCACTACTGGGACATCATCAATAAATGCATATTATGTGTAATAACTCAATTTTGTGGTACTTGAGAGAATGATGACAGTACTCATTAGCATAGCCAAGCATTGTGGAGAGAGTTCAGAGAAAGCAAGAATTTAGAGCTTGAGGTGCCTGGGAGAATATAGCATTTCCTGTTTCCAAGTCTCTGGAAACCTTGGGGAAATCCATAAATTGGGGTTTGAGCCACTTTATTTTTTATCTTAATGAACAGAATGTCATATGACTGCTGAAAGATGTTTGTGGATCTCTAAGAGTTGTCTGTTTGGACAAGGGTAGGAAGTGGTGTGGCAGGAGAGCAGTTCTCATCCATCGTGCAGTTTACTATGAGGGTCTCCTGTTGCCAGATGTCAGGGTATGTGGGGTCAAGGAGAGAGGTCTCAGGAAGGCTCAAGTTTTTGGGAAAGGGAGGAGAATGAACCCTAACAAGCCTAGAATAGATACACAATGGACCCTGATTTTAATTTGAGTTGAGTAACTCAACCACTTCCTAATGACAAATGCATTCTTTTGCTCAACAGTTTGGATGTACCTACCCTCTCTTGAGAACTCGACCATGTCAGAAGCTTAGTAATAGAGTGGAGAGGGCAAGGACTTTAGAGGTGGAGACCTGCGTTTGGATCATCTCTGTCACTTGCTAGCTATGTAATCTTAGACACCCAGTGAACCCTCTGGGCCTCAGTTTGCCTATTTGTAAAATGGGAAAAATATTCTCCCAAAGTAGGGTCTGGTAAGATGTAGCACATTGTTTGTGCTTAATAAGTGACAGCTGAGATGATTTCTCTATAAATGCCATTCTAGCCTACCCTGTGCACAGAGCCCTGTACCAGCCACTATAGAGATGTTCCAAGTAAGACATATGACCTCTGCCTTCAGTCAGTTCCAGTGAGCTAGAGATGAAAAGCCATCTACCAACCCCAGGATCATAGAGGGGCAGAAAGTCATCATTTTCCCTTCTGCAGCAGCTTCCCTCTGCTTTGGACTTTGCTTTGGACTTCCTTAAAAAAAAATCCTTTATAATTCTAGCAAAAGCTCCCAAACATCACTGTTTGCTATATAATTTTTTAAAATATGCAAAAATATTTATGATATATATTTTATAAAAGAGTTATGAACTTTAATCTGGAAAAATAATTCTAAGTGGAAGGGAAAAAGAGCCATTTAAGGGCACAAGATTTAAAATAAAACTTTAAAAATAGCAGTGTAGGAGGGCTTTTTAAAAACGTCATTTTAGGCTGGGCGCGGTGGCTCATGCTTGTAGTCCCAGCACTTTGGGAGGCCGAGGCGAGTGGATCACGAGGTCAGGAGATCGAGACCATCCTGGCTAACACGGTGAAATTTTTAGTCTCTACTAAAAATACAAAAAATTAGCCAGGCATGGTGCGGGTGCCTGTAGTCCCAGCTACTCGGGAGGCTGAGGCAGGAGAATGGTGTAAACCCGGGAGGCAGAGCTTGATCGCAGCACCACTGCACTCTAGCCCGGGTGACAGAGCGAGACTCTGTCTCAAAAAAAAAAAAAGTCATTTTATTTAGTATTTCTTTGAGAAAATTAATGATCTGAACAAGCAGAAGTATTAGCACTTTTTTGACACCTTCCTATGCACGCTCAGAGACTGTGCTGTCAAAGCCGAATATTACAAGAACATGCCATGAGAAATAATGCACCAAGTGTGCCTGCAAGAGGGAAGCTTGTCCCCTCAGGGTCCTGGACTTGGAAATCATCTGATGGCCCCTCTAAGGACACAGGTCAAGGCCCAAGATGGTCTTTGAGCAGGGCAAGGGTCAGCGGGGAGAAGGGTCTCATGTGCCACTTGCCATATAATTGCAGACACTGGCATTCATTCCTCAGCTTGGGCAAGGAGGTGGGGAAACACGTTGTGTGGTCTCATTTCCTTTTGCTTACCAGCCCCCAAATCACTCTCCCCAGAATGGCAGCTTTACTTACCAGAACCATGGTGAAGGGCCTGAACCCATGAGGGAGAAGAGTCACTGTGGCTCAATGAGAATCCTGTTGGCCAGAGACCCAGCCCGCGCCACACAGGTACTTGGCACAGGCTGGTTCTCTAGGGCTCTAAGGATATGCTGAGACCCCCAAGTACAGAAAAAAGGACTGGTTCTGCCATGCCAACTATGTAGAGTAACACACACATAACAGGATGTGATGATTGTTGTTTCAATAGCCATGAGAGCAACTATTACATTCCATCTGACTAATGGTGCTCCATTTTTTTCTGATGATTTTTGGACAATTTTATTATGTGAAAGTAGACTAAGCTGGAGCTGGAACCTTTCAAATCATAACATGGCTCAGAGAATGTTGTCAAACACCATGACTGCACTGGTATGTTCATTATCTCCACATGATATGCTGTGTATTAGGTCAGACCATATGAAATTTCTATTTTTCTAGATCTCATCTGGTCATATATTGGTAATTTCATATGGCTCATTTAACATGTTTGTTTGCCAATATCTGTTTCCCACCCTAAAGTGTAAGTGCTGTGAGAGTAGGGGCTTTGTTATGTTCACGGCTGTATCCCTGGGGCTTAGAACAGTGCCTGACACAGAGGCGGCATTCAAAAATATTCACTGAATGAATGAATACATGAATTCACTGATTTCTAGTGAAACCCTATTATGTGCCAGGCACTGTGCTAAGAATGAGGAATATATGAAAAAGACAGTCTTAAAGAGCTTTGAGTTCTCTTGGGAAAAATAGATTTAAATCAGTACCTAAAAAGCTAATAGGCAAACACTGGGACAAGGGGTAATACAGGATGTAAGGAGAGGAATGAATGCCAGCGTCTGCAATTATATGGCAAGTGGCACGTGGGACCCTCGCCCTGCTGACCCTTGCCCTGCTCAAAGACTATCTTGGGCCTTGACCTGTGTCCTCAGAGGGGCCATCAGATGGTTTCCAAGTCCAAGACCCTGAGGGGACAAGCTTCCCTCTTCCATCAGTGGGTCCCAGCCCGGATTGGGTTGGTAGGGGAGAAGGGAAAGAGGGCTGAGTTTCCAGTCAATAAAAAGATTAGTATTGACATCTGAAAAGGGAGAATTGGGCAGGTGAAAACAGAAGCAGAAACAGTCACAAAAGCATAGTCAGATTTCTGATGTCAGACATGTTCACACACAGCTCCACCAACCACAGAAAAACCAGGAACATTAGCCATCTACCTATGAGGTTGGCTGAATGAACCAAAGCATGCCTTTTAGTTAAAAATTAGAATAAATTAAAGGTATGAAAAACAGGCAAGACTAATTGGGTAAATAAATAGGCAAAAGAATCTTTGCCAACAAGGGCTGTAGTATTGTCCTAAGGATGAAGTATGTGTTTTTTTGTGTTTTTTTTTTTTTGACTTCTTGTTTACTTTGCATGTAAATGTAACAGGAACTAGTGTTTGGCCAGTTTTGTGTCTATTTACTGTCTTTACATTTAATGTCTGTCTCTGCCTATTTCTGTCATTCCAAACACTTTAGAAATAACAAAGATTTTCTGAGTTCAATGAGAAAATTGTCACTACCGCTAGCATTTGTTCTATCAAATGCATTAAATAGAATGCCACCTCTGGGTAGGGTGGAGTTTATAGTCTGTCGTGGATCACATAGCTGACATTGCCAATAAGTATAAGATATGATTTCAGGCTCCATCATTGTCACTCTGGGAAGAGAGCACAGTCCTGCAGGTCTTGCAGTTACACAAAGAGGGTCCTCTAGAATGTAGCTGCATTTAAAACAGAAAAAAGAAAGTGTGGAAGAATGAAACACTTTGGCACGTATTCCCCAAATGCAGATTATTTCTCTCTAGACTTCAATTTTTGCTCTTCTTCTTCCCATCCTTCCTCTATTGCAGGTGATCAGGGGAAAGATCACATCATCTCTGAGTTCAAATCCCAAAACTATTTCCCAGTCATGGCTATCCCAGCCTGGCAAAGAAAAGAGATACTGTCCTCACAACCTTGCATTGCTTCCAGGCTGGTCCTTTCCTGGAAAGGCATCCAACAGTATAAAAAGCAGCTTCTTCACAGAGCAGCTTCAGCCCCGACTGAGCCTTTGGGAATGGAATGCTACAAATTGTGGTGCTTCTATTGTATGAGCAATTCAATGGGCATTTCATTTCCAGTCAAAATCCAAACTAGTTAAAGTCAGCCTGTACAAGCTGTCTTGCTGAGAAACAGCAGCTTGCATTAAAATTACAATTATATTGTTTTGCCATGTCAGAAGCAAAGGTTAAAATCATAACTTGGCCGGATATTGTTTCTGTAATATTGGCCCTCTGCAAAGCTGCCGTGTGGATGAGCCCAGAAATGATGTGAAATATTTCTAATACAAATTTTATTTTTATGTGAAACTATTCAAATGCTGCTGTACAACATGAACTACCTGAACCAAATCAAATCCTCAGGTCAATTCCTTCTTCCGAGTGCTCCTTAGATAACAAAGTCTTGTTCTGCGAATCTGTTCAATATATTAAAGTTGATTCACTCGGACAGTGTGTAAGATATAATACATTAATCTGGGCCATTTCAATTTCTGAGGCTGGGACTATAAAACTGGTGTGCTGCATATCTAATTTTTTTTGAATACCTGATTTATGCATTCCTCTGATGCCGAGTGTCGATGGTATGGTGGATGCGGCTGCTACATTAACAACGGGCTGCATCAGCACTCAAATCTTATCTTGTTAAATCAGACAAATGTAGCTCAATGAAAAGGAAGGAATAAATGCCTGGGATGGTTGAAAGGAGTGAATTTTAATCCTGTTTGTTAGGGGACTTTCATGGTTTGCACTGGATGACTAAGGGCTGGGGGGGGTCCCCTGGAGACTTTGGGTACCATGATTTATATTTATATGTAATATATATAATGTACCCAGAGCACACATATGAAAATATACACCTTATACAAATCAGCACACACCCTAACAGCAGAAACAGTGCTGCAAGATGCAGTGTCTATATTTTACAGATGCTGTAAAATCTCTATTAGATAGAGAATTTGTAAAAATGGGTCTCTTTTTAATATTTCCATTACAAGTATAAAAACTGCTCCTTTGTGCATAATTCTCTATAATTTTTCATCAAAAAGAAGTTACCATGAAGGCTAAACACCAGGAGGATGGAATAGCTTATCACAATCATTATAAATACAATGTTTTCAGGAACTTTTGTGGCATGCTGAATACTGCTGCCATTCTATAGACAGACAGTATTAATTCTCATTGAAGGGAAACGTCCCTGTATTTGCAAAATCAACAAGACCTTTAGAAATTATCTTTGTGCTATAGAAGAAGAAAAGTTTTATCCCTGTATATAGCACAAATGGCCAAGGCATTTATAATAGATGAACTATACTTTAGAAATAAATTCTTAGGGAGGACCCTATACTACTAAACTCTAATTTAAATCTCCTTCTTTTAAAATATTCATGGAGTTCAGCTTCAGAAAATAGAAGTCAATCAAAATCTTTCATTTGCCCAAGAAAATATGTTTGGATGCATGGGAGCACCACAACACAGTTGTAAACATGCATTACCTATTAACATGTAAGTGTCACAAAATACAGCAATTACAGAAGAGGCCAAAGTGGAGCTAGAATTATTTAATTGGCTCAAAGATAAACTTGCCTGGTCAGTGACACTTTGGAAACATATTATTTAAACATAAGTTCAGTTGTACTTTCACTGGCTTCTCGCTTTCCTTAGTGTTTAATTACAGAAGGTGTATGTGTCTAGGGTGAGAGAAGATGAAGTCTTATAAACAAGAGATACATTCGCATCCCTCTCTTCCTTGTGCTGTTAGATTTCCAAGGTCTGAATCCACTACCTGCAACATTGCTATTAGTTACAATGGTCACAGCTGTGACACGCAAACATTGAAGACGGCAACTGGTTCGTACATCTGACCAGATGAACTGGTCAAAGCTTTCATACATGTTTTAGAAATACAGAATGTTATTGCTGGGAGACACCAGAGAGAGCCTCTTGCCAAATCTAGTCATTTTGCAGATGAAGACATCCAGGCCAAGAATTTAAAAAAGCCTTGGCCAAGTTCAAAGCCAGGGCTAGGCCCAAGTCATCTGATATTCAATTCAGTCCACTGCTTCTTGATTGCACCACAAATCCAAAGCTTCCCACAACTCAGGCAGCCCCCACTCCCTGAACAATAGCCTCGAGCCAGAGCCCCTCCCTTTTATACAAATCAATATTCCCTAGACTTCTCATTAGCGCTAAAATTTGGACTACATGTTTCTGAGAATGTCATGAAATCTCAGCTCATGTGAGCCTTATCTTAACAGTAGTAAATTGTGAGTCATGTTTGGGCAAGATTCGAAGAATGAAAACTTGAAATTATTTAGCTCTTAAGAGAACAAAATATCTTCATCATCCTCTTTAGAGGACTCAAAACTTGGCTTTAATTTGATAGGATGTAAACATGTCTTTAAAGGAATCAGTAGAAAGTATGGAGGCAGGTAATGCCAGCAGAATGGAATTCAGGAGTGTGGGTGATGATAATACCTGGTTCAGGGAGAGCACAGTGGAATGATGGAAATGGCAGGGCGAGGGTAACATATGATTCTGCTCAGTGCAGAGTGCCAGTCGACCTCTCCTGTGCAGTGAACACGTGACGAAGTGTGTAGAACAAATCAAAAAGTGACTTTCAAGCTGGAAAACAAAACAGGCTCCTTGCTAGTCAGTCAAGTTGTTTCACAGAAGGGCTCTTCCAGGATTCCCCACATTGCTGAAAATGAAAAGAAGATGCCCACTTTTCAGATCACAGACCAACATGTCACCCAGCAGGGGAAGCCTCTGACCCTATGACAGCTACACTCAGTGGGCCATCGGTGGCACAGTAAGGGGTACTCCGGCTGCAAGAATGGTCTGGAGCTATGAGGGGCCTCAGCCATTTTCCAAATTTTGCCCTTTCTGAGAGAAGTTTAGGGTCACAGAAATGCATAGTGCTTGAGGAAAATGTAGCTGGGATGGAGGCAGAGTGGACAAATCAGCCAGGTCATTTTGACTGCCAAAAGGAAGGAGAGATCTGCAGCTTGAATTGAGACTTCATTAGTACACATGGGATGCTGCAGATGTATTAAGAGCAAATAATGTGAGATCAGAGCCTCACTAGATGCTTGAATTTATGTCAAAGTAGCTCCATTACATATGTGTTCCCCAGGGTCAGACTACATTAGCTAGTTTCCTCATTCCACATATGATGAACTAAAGAGTCAATGGAGTGTACTTCAAAAATGCCTCTATAAAACATGTGTGGAGTGTCCATAGAACTTAGGTTCAGTTTAAGTGTGTACATGTGTGCATATTGCACGTGTGTATGTGAGAGACAAGGAGGGGGAATAAGACATAAAATGTCTCTAAGGTCACAGAACACTGACCTCATTGGCGGGGCTAATTTGATTGTGCGGGAACAATAGCACTGTACTCCTTTGCCAGTGAAGTGCATGCTAATTATGCGATTTGCCCTTGATAAGACCTTGGTGGGTCATTCAGCAGTTGTGATCTGTCACTGACTTCTAATCATGTATTATCGTCTGGGTGAGTCAGAATGGGACCCTAAGCTTTCTGTCTTTACAGCAATGTGGCACTCTAATTACCTTATGCCAAGTGGATATGCAGCTACTGAATTAAGTGATCAGTGCGATTGCCTTCAAAATCTTCTCTTTCTCCTTTGTGTTGCTTCACGGCAATTTACATTTTAAGATGCCATGAAGCTTTTGGTGTGACTGAAAATGCCACTCTAAAAAATAATTATTTTATTTTAAATTTAAGCAGGATAATATTAAATTCATGCCATACTAGCGTCTTACCTTATTTCTGTGGCATAAAAGCAGAAGCTACAATAAGAATAAGTGAGCAAACTTGTTGAAAAGCACCATGTTGGGAGCCTGGCTTTTGCTTTCAAAAAATAAAAATTTAAAAGGATTGGCAGTGTTTTGGGGTGTGGAGATACTCTTGAGAGTGAGAGAACTTTCTAAGGCCCTTAAGTTTTTACTGTACTAATAATTTGCACTTAATAAGCAGACTTTAACATAAGCATTATTTTTTAACTTTTAAATAGCATTTGAGATCCACCCAAGGGCTATATGTGCAAAAGAAATAAATTAAAACTCAAGGAATTAAATCTCACCACAAAATATTCATTAACTAGGGTAACGATAAATTGACCTTATAAGTATTTTAAGTTCAGTAACAATTCCTGACATATTGGTTAACTTGTTCCATGACAGTTTGAGGGATCAGTGTGGTCCTAATTATGGTAATGTGGGTTGCGTTCTTTTTCTGATACTTTAAAATTTTGTTAGAGCTATGATATAATTCTCTATTGTTACATAGGAACTCTCAAATACTACAAGCAATCCGTTATGCTAAACCAGTTGTATCAACATCTGTATTTGCCTAGAGAATGATCTAATGCCTTTTGCAAAGAAAATGCACTAGGGCATTTATAAAATTTGATAAGATACACTGATGTGGATGATCCTTGAAAATATGAACTCTGAAGTGCTCCTTGAAAGTTGTCATAAAACAGACCAAAAAAAAAAACAAAAAAAAACAACCATCACAACATCATAGAGCAAAAGTTACTGTGCTACTAACAGGAAATATAAAAGGATTTTCAAAGAATTTCTGCCTTGTGTGTCAACATTGCTGCAGAATTCTTTTATAGTAACGGAAAACTCAAAACCAAAGAGGACAATTGAGAGAAAAATTGCAGCCTTATTTTCCTTGAATCACATGATGTGGAAAGAACATTATTTGTTGAATCCTTGGTTTGTTTGGGTGGGAGAGGGGAGAGAAAGAGGGGGGGAGATAGTGAAAGAAATGGGGTGGAGGGAGAAGGAGGGGGATTAAGAGAGCCCAGAGAGAGAGGGAGGGAAGAAAGAGAAGAAGAGGCGAGAAAGAGAGAAGCCTAGACTCAGAATATTCTGCATTCCCTGGGTGGCAAAACAAAAGAGTCCAAGGAGAGGGGGTGGAAAACTGTGGAAAGTTGACACAGTCAAGAATAATGGCTAAATCTATCAAGTTTGATCAGGTCTACTATAATGAAGTGAGGCTTCATATTCCAAGCAGGGACAATGAAGACAGGAGTCAGGCTCTAGAAATGCGCTGCTCACTTTGTGCTTGGAATATGCAGCAGCCAGCAGGGAGCCACCAGATAATTACACAGTATTTGTGCGGTTCCAGGAAGCTTCCCGTGCAGGTTGAATGCCCGTGCTATATTAAAAGGCAGCACAGTGAAATGTTTTTAATGAATATTTTTGTCAGAGAAAGAAAAGGCATTTGAATGATTGTGTGTGTGAGAGAGAGACGGAGAGAGAGAGAGAGAGTGTGTGTTTACGCTTGCGCATGGGGAAACCAGAGGTGGAATATCACTGTCAAAATACAGGTACCTTTATTTATTTTTATTCCATTATTTACCATTTCAAGAGTCTGACGTCCTTTCAATAATACGAATCACAACATTCGGTAAATGTTATTTTGCGCTAATTGTACATATAATCCCTTAACTAATATTTGCTAATAATATCTTTCAATGAATTAGTACATCAAACAGAGGCTTAAAACTACTTTTAAAAATTCCAGTAGTAAATGAAATGTTTAGACACATCGAATCAGGAAATCAAAAGGAGAGGTAACACAGATGTTGATACTTACTAGTCAGTAGCCTTTGGCAGTGATAGCTCTAAAACATAAGAATACATTATTTCAGCGCTCTTTAATTCTCACCTAACAGATGTGAATAATCCACTGAATTTTAAACCCACATATTCTATTCACAATGCCCCTTTAAGTTCATTTTGCAGGGCAAGGCAAGCCACATACACTCAGAGAATTCACTGGATAAGGTTGTGATTTTTTAAAGTCCAGTTCCACGAATATAATGCCAGATATATTTCAAATGCTTTTTGTTTACTTGATGAAAAAACATATATAACTTCCTAAAATACATTTTCCGGTGCTGGTGCTACATATGTAAAGGCAGCTTTTTAAAGGCTAAATGACTTCCAGCAATTAGCCATAGACATCACACAATAACTTCCCTTTCGCAAATTAAATAAATTCAGCAATTCAAACCCTTTGGATAACAAAAGCATCTCACAGATATTTCTCCTTCGTATCAAATGATTTTCAGATAATGTAATGACTTACATACCAAGGTATTAATTTAGGCCTGAAACCTCCACATTTTAAAAGGGGATATTGTATTTCACATGGCTAAGTACCGATTGTGAACCATTATCACTTTTAACAAGTACATTCTGATGAGGTAGCATGGATCTTTATTTGAAGGGAGAGTTCCTACCACATTGCATGACACAGATGGTAGGGGTCAACAATTAAGAACAGTGAGAGTCACAGGATTTGTTGGTTGAAAGATGGGTCTGATGAGGCAATTTTCTATCTTTTTTTTTTTTCTCCCAAAGAGTAATTTCAAGTAGATTTCTCAGTCAAGAGGCCTGCCACTCCCTCTAGCAACTGACTAAAATTTAATAGCTTTGACCCTCAAACACACACACACACACACACACACACACACACACACACACACACACGGAACCACACACTGAATTCAACAAAAGTGGTGACTGGCCCCAGATTATTATAAGAGAAAGCAATAGCCATTCCAAATTCTCAAGGATTTGTTTCAAGGTTCCTGTCATTGAAATGTTTCCTTTTGTATGCTGTATTATTAATAATTGCAAATACCTAAATGGGAACATTTAAATGAAAACTGGTTTCTTTTATCGCATGGGAAAAAAAAATCCTAACCCTTTCAGAAAATAGATTCAAAATGAGTACACATAAAATACTGAAAAGGAAATTTCAGGAGGTATATATGGTTAAGTATATCTAACAAGAAAGACAGGCAATTACCTTGGCATGTTTAAATATGATTATCAATCTGTCCTCGAAGACTTTCAATATTAAAATATAAACAATGGTCAGATATGTTTTATTTCATTTGAATTACAGCTGCTTACAAATAACACTCTATTATGCTATGGGTTAAAACAAAAATAACACAACATGCTTTTTAGTCATCTCTTCTACTTTTCAATTTTTACTGAAGATACTCCACTGCTATATTAAGCAGCAATCTGAATTCATCATAAAATACATAAACTATACAGGCCAAAATGGTCTGGTCATCTTTTTAGAAGTTTTAAAACAAAAGACTTCATTTTAATATCATTTGACCAGAAAGATGGAAAGCTTGGAAGAGTGGGGAATGGGCTTTTCTACTTTTGTAAGAATTGCTGGAAATATATACATACAAGAACAGTCCTCAATCACAGGCAGACACAAAGGGCTCAAGAGAGGTCACCTTCTATTTTGGCCCAATCATAATTAGTAAACATTTTCAAATTGTGGGCCAATATAGAGATGAAATCATATGGAAGTTTTATTCTACGCCTTCCCTTCTTCCTCCAAGAAGCTATGAAAATGTACGTTAACATGTAACAGAATGTCTGAAGACTATTTCTTCTATAGGCCCTACAATTTGAGTTTCCACCTTTGTTGTCAGTTGTCCATGCAATCTTTCTGAAAGAGGCCTTGGGGATGAGACTCAGAGTGAAAGGGACCATGCCAAAATCTTCTGGCTTGGGGAAAGGTATGGTGAGGGCTTGAAGGGAGGCAGTCTTTGCTTAAGATCACTGCAGTCATGCTTCTACAATTCATGGTGTCATTTTCATTTGTCCTGCTCTGTTCCGGCAGCTACCTAGAACTAAATTAGAAGATTTGCTTGGTTTTACATCATTTGCATTGGACCTCCTCATTCTGAAGTCTCAGATTTCACAGGGTCTTTTTGTGAAATGAAGAGTAAGGTTTTCGTTAATTCCCTTAGCCTGGGTACCCTTGTAAAACATTAATCTGTTTAAAAAAATATGAAAAGCCAGTAATCTTTCCCATGTAGAAAATAAAACTACTATTCCTCTGTCCTAGAAGCCTACATGTTGTTGTACACAAATGCTGGCGTATTCATAAGCAGCATCCTCATATTTAAAGGAATGTTACCCCCAAGATTAAGTGGTCCTTGGAAATGCCAATGACTGCGTTCCAGCCCCTTTGCCTGCAAAGAGCTTCGTGGCATAGAAAAAGGTTCCTCTTCACCTTCTAAGCTTCATTTTATTCAATTGGCTCTTTTTCACATTGTTATAGCTGGTGAATATAGCAAAGTTGGATTCAGAAGAGAATCTTAAGCGTTATCATAATGCTTAGAAGAAATGGCTTCACACTGTATAATCTATCAAAGGTGTCAGATTTACAAAATGCAGATTTTCTGTCACATTTGGGCACTCTAAGCACTGTTATCTTTTCACTAAGGTGCTGACTGCTGTTTTAATGAGGCCCTTTGGTGGCTGTAAAAAACTGAAAGATGAGGATTAGAGGGGTTACCCTAGATATTGTCTATTTGTCTTACAAATTTCACACTAACTACCAATTACATCGCCATAAACCTTTTGGCTACTTCAAGCTGTATGCCATATAATACATAAAAAATACGCTATGTTAACCTCTCCTATATTATACACATAACTACAGCCACTGATGCAAGTAACATATCTAATGAAGCCAATAATGAGACTCTTTAAAAGGAGTCTTGTTATAGGAATAATATTAGAGCAGTTCAGTTAGAGGCTAAAGTCCATTATGGAATACTTCCTGTATACTCTGGTCCTAGGTCTGGAAAGATGCTGACACACTAATTCAAGCTCAAGAAGGGCATTAATCTTGCAACCTTCTACTTGTCATGCTTAATGGGACATCCTGCCTAGGTGAAATGAACCTGATGTATTCAGGTAAACATAATTCAATAAGGAAAGATAAAAAGAAACAGACATCTGGCATGACCCTAGGGAGATGAAAATACCTGTCTTTTTATTTAAGAAGCTAATTCCCCATAACAATCTACATTGTGCCGGGACAGGGCTGTACATAGTAGGCACTCAACAATATGTATTGCATTAAATATATGAATTGCATTAAGGAATACATGGAAAAATCATGGTTAAAATTTTGAGACATGTCAGTTGTTTTTTCTCCCTCTAAACTTCCTGCAATCCATTTTGTTGGTGGGGAATGATAATACCAGGCAAGGAAGGCAACTGTGTTCATCTTGAGGAAGAAGACACATATTAATGTGGGGTTAAGCATCTGAGTGTGAAATCAAGATCCGCAACAATACAGCATGAGATTTAAAAAGCAGGCATGAATGTCAGTGAGTAACTGTGCATCCTATTTCATTTGCAATCACTCTTAAGTCTAATGAGCTTCCAAAAATTGTGTCAGTGTTTCAGATAAGCTTATAAAAGGCAGCTGTTGGAGAAGGTGGAAGTCCATTCTGCCAAACCATCATCACACACATCACACACACACATACACACACACACCACACACACACAGACACACACATACACACACAGACACATACACACACACACACATACATGATGCATAATGGGGCAATGCTTCCCTCAGTCCATGCTTAGATACTAATCTCCTAAGGTTTTGAGAGAGACGAATCTAAAATAGCCCTAGAGAACACTGATTGGCCTTACCATTTAAAACAGCTAAGTAGTATCAAGAATCAAGCTAGTTAATATTCTGGGTGATAAATCTATGCTCGAAGTCAGTGAATAGAGTTTGTCATTTGGAAATTTTCCAAGTTCTCTTTGATTCAAAGATAAAATGAACATGGCATTATTTGGTCAAGGTTTAAAAATTAGACAAGTGGTAAATATGATTTGAAGCTGGTATCTGAAAACACTTGAAAACTCAGCTTTCTTCAGTCCTTCTTCTAGCTAATTTCAGATAAGTTAATACATGGTTAAATAAATTATTTTGACAATAATGTGGTTAAATCCATTGTTGTGAATTTGAATTTATCACATTTCTATATTTAGCTGGCCAGGCACTTGTAAATCTCCAAAGCTCATTTTCATGGAAAAATCAATGCATTTTCCCCCCAAACCCCCAGATAATATATGTTACTTGTGAAAATGAGTCTTTTACTTACAATTTATTTCTCATGGGGACAGAGAAAAACGTATATGGGCACTCAACAAATGAATCAAAATAAAAGACTAAAGAGAACCCTCACCAATAAAAACTCTAATTGGATAGTTCTGCGATGACAGGTCTTCCTCAGCTTTCTCCCTCACTTTCTAGAGCATCTGCAGAATGTTCACCTGGATAAGCAACTTTGCATATTGCTAGGGTTCATTTTCTAGGCAGTCTGAGTGTTACCAATTCCACTAGGCACGATTATCCAAGATGACAAGAAGTTGCCCATGCTAGAGGAACAAATTTGGCCTGTACTTGTTATTAGAAAGGATAAGAAAGAATACTCTTAATAGAAGACAGCCATCTTCCTGGTGCAGTTGAGCAGACAGGGGTATATGCAGATAACTAGGCATTTGGACCACCACATATAACTTTTTATTCATATTGTTATTTTTGTCCAAATCTCTTAAGTGTCTCATCCACAAAGTGTTAAGAGGAGTTACTTATTCATTAAACACTTTGCATAATCTTTATAAGTAGCACCATGGAAACCAAAAGTACTGTACTACTTCGGTCTTTCCCTGGTTGAACTCAAAGAAAGAATTTCCATCCATAGTGCATAAAGAAGAAGCATGCCTTCCTTGTGTTCATCCCTTTTTTCTTATAAATGTTTTCTTAATGATTAAAATCCTGGATTAGTATCTATCAATTACTGACCCTTAAATCAGAATTGGAGATTCATAAGCTGCCAGTCTTAGAGGTAACCACGAGACTCTTCCCAAATCACTAATAACTCTCATTGCTTGGAGACTGCCTCTAGATATCATTCTAGAGATAGAATTTGTTCCTGGGGATTTTGCTCTGCTTGTCCATGATCTTGAACTATAGGACCTTATTCTTGCCCTTAGATGACACATGATTCCATCTAAATAGGTAAAATGAGGTGCAAAGGGAAGAAAATCTACCAGTAGAACATACTTGAAACATTTGGAATCTATGGGCCTGATTCCCAGAAATCTGAATTAAAATGAGATTTGAAATGAGAAAAAAATGTTGATGTTTCTAATCATTCTAATAAAATTATCTAGCTTCTGCTAGATCATTTTTTATACCAAGAGCTGTGCTCTATTCTATATGGAATAGACTACGCTAAGCTGGATAAAATATGTCACCTTAGGCACCTGAATTAATAGTTTGGTTATGTACTCGGTTAAGTCTTTACTATAGATCACCATAAGTATGCTAGGCAGACAATTCTCTAGAGCTAACATTTTAAAAAGGTGCCAAAGCCTCTTTGAGATCTGTGTGAATTATCCAGATTCAGGGAAAAAAATGTTAAATATACTGCGCTTTTCTACCCCCCTCATTTCTTAGTTGCATTGAATAAGTAAAATTGCAGCAAAGTTGGCAAGAATAAATACTTCCTCGGTTTTTCTAAAGCTGCAATTAATGATAATGAAGCTATACCTTATATGGCAAGAAATACAGTACAAACTGGATAAGTAAGAAAAATGATCAGCCATTGTGTGCCTCCGATATAGTACATCAAGGTATCGCCACTGTGAGGCTATCTTTATTTTAAACCATTAAACAAAACAATATAAATCTGCAGGCAGGTGTTTCTTGTTGCAGAAGTATTGAAAGTTGTAATGCAAACAATCTAATTTTAGCATCTATGTAGAGTGTGAAGTAAATTTACTGATCACTGATGCATTGAGCATAGGAAGAAACAATCAGCAGGAGCTTTCAGCAAGATTATCCTATTAAAGCAGGAAGACTTCACGTGGTTGTTAAGGAAGTAGTCAAAAGCAGGTGATGGAAGTGGGGGTTTGACGACTCGTCAGTGGGCCCAGTGTACATGTTAAGTTGTTGTTTTCTGCTCAGCTAAGCAGCAGAGAATTGATATGTTAGCAATGAAGTGCAATGACAATTAAATTGTAACTGACCTACATGTTACCGTCATTACGCGTTCTCTTTTTTACTGCTTTCCCTCTTATTTAATCACACAGTATGGGGTTTTTATTAGGCTGTAATGTTAAAATCTTCATCCATTTAGCCATAAATGTGTGACTGGATATCTATCAGACTTCCTTGCACTATACAAACAAAGCCATTTTGCTGAATCACTGTTGACTTGTTTGTGGCCTAATTTAATGAGTGTAATAACTTACATTACTATCCAGTTAACATTTAGGAGCCCAGAAAAGACCTGCTAGCACGCAGTAAGCTACTGTATACATTCTCTATTCATATCACTCCCCTTTGCAGTAAATTTTATACAATAATATGCACTGCTTACAACATAAGCTCAGCTTCCATCAGCTGAGGATAGCACTCTAGTAAGTTCACTGTGCTCAGCCTGAAATGCTTCCTACACATGGGAACCAACCAATATGATTCTCTTTTTCTGGATACTATAGTGGCTATATCTTCATCCCTTATAAACATAATAAACACAGGTTATATAACCTGCAGACAAAGATAGTTTCGCCTTTCTTCCCATTTGTCTTACTGATATTTTAAGCCTCTTCCCACCCCCAAACTCGGGAATGAAAAATAGTTACTCAAGGAGAGGGAAATAGAAACCATTGTCAATTAAACAAAATAGAGTAGAGTTCCAGGATAAAATATAAAAGCAGTAAGTCAACAAATAAACTGGGTTGTCCCTGTTTATATGTATATGATTAAACTGTCCATGATCTTGAATATGCACTATTTTATATTTCCCTGTACTAAAGTTACCCATCCTCCCATTTGACCCACACACATCTATTTGCTGTCTTGCTAAATGTTTCTTTAACACAATCATATTGAAATTTATCTGTGTTTCCATTACATTACTTTGAAACAAAGATTTAAGAAAATCTTTGTCACTTGACTTTGCCTTAGCCATTTAACTAGCACCTGACAATTCAGTGAATCACCAAAAAAAACTCATTACTTTCATACTAATTTTATGCACAGATGACACAATCAAAGCTCTTCACTTGCCCAAAATAATCATCATTTAAGAAGAAATACATACACATACACACAGAGTTGACAATTTACAAACAAGCACTTCCACATCGAGAGATTTGGAAGAGATGGACCTTAGTTTTTCTTTCCCCTTTCAGAGCAGCATTACTTCATTGTTTGAGTCAAGATTTAAGCCTTTAATTACTATCCATTACACAATATCTCAGATTGACATTATAATCTTAGAAGTTACCAATAATAGGGTGGGAAAAAAATTATAGATGGAAGAGATAGTTCTACATTTTATTCCTTTTCATGAAATAGGCAGAGGCAACCTTCAGGCTTCTCATCCCAGGAGAAAATGCATTATTCTGGACAAGTGGGAGTTTACTTTGGTTTTCATAAACGATGGGCTACGTAAAATTTTTAGATGCTAATTAGGACCTCTATGTCTGTAGGTGTATCGACTCTCCAAAAAAAGCATTTTATTGACAACTTTCAATAAAATATGTAAACTCTCAGGTCCTAGAAATTAGTGGGGAAAGCAACCATAATATAATTTTATTTCTTCACCATTAAGCTCCTACAAATTCCAGGCACTCTTCTAGGCCCTGGGGAAAAGGCTACCAAGATAAAAGAGCAAAATCCTTGCCCTCATGTGGCATATATTCTTGTGGAAAAGAGAGAGTAAACAAAACATGAACAAAACAACAATTATGTAGCATATGAGAACGTGAGAGATGCTAAAGAGAGAAAAAAATAAAACAGGAAAGGGAGAAGGTGTTCTGTGGGCAAGACTGGATTTTATACTGAGTGGTCAGGGTAGACCACACTGAGAGGGTATTAATCCGTTTGAGCAAAGACTTGTAAGAGACAAGAAGATACTTACATTAATGTATAATCTAAATATACATTACATGCAATTTTAATGTTTAGCTTCATACATATAAATATAATAAAAAACTATAATAAACTATTAAAACTATGATAAAAAAAAACTAGTTGGATTTCCTTCAAGGAAAGGTTCAAAAGAAAGCTAGCAAAAAAATAGGGTTCGGAGTTGGTGTGGAGTCAGGCCACCTGGAAAAGGAGTTCTTATATGCCCCTTACCACTTCCCCATTTTGAATCCATAATTCATTATTTGTCCTTGTAGTAAACCTGTCACTTGGGGGGATCTGGAGTGATAGCAGTTTTAAGCCAGGTTGGGTGAAGATAAACCTGTGTAATCTTGACTGTTTATTATATAACACCCCAATAATCATGACCACTTTTTAGGTCTCACTCCAAGTCAGACACTTCCCATTAAAAATCCTTGGGAAGTAGGTATTATTATGCTCAATTCAAAGCTGAGTAAGATGGAATTCTGAGAAAGTAACCAATATGGCATAGTTCTGCTAAATATTGAGTAGAAGAGTGAATCATCAGACTCCTGTGCCACAGTTCTTTTCCACACTTATAAGGATAAAACAAAAGCAAAAACAAAACCAAACAAAATAATCTGGAGTGTCAATCAAGAAAATCAAAAGCTTTGGAGAGTAAACAATAATTTGGGGTAAAGGTTGAATGTACCATTAAACTAGAAGTTAAATGCTAGCATTGCTGAAATTATGCAAACAATGGGTACAGTGGTGCTTTTTTATGCAAAATGTGGAGACCAGGTAAAACTTTTAATGGGAACTGCTGATTTATTGATGCTTCTTTCATGACGGTGACTTCTGCTAACCTGTATGGCTCCTATGTATGAAAAATGGGTGCTTTCCTCAGGGTAGAAACAACTCAGTGCTGGGACAGGTGAGTCAAATGCAAGTATGATTTTTATCCTCACTGGGTATCATTGTGCATGCATGACCTGCCCCAGCAATTCTTGGAAGCCCTGCTTTCTAAATGTAAGTAGCGGCAGCCTAGCTAGTGACAGAAGTTAGAGAGGCTCTACCATTACTTGATCATTTTCTTCAGGTTCTGTGTGACTCCATCTTACAATATCATCTTTCTTGATTGACCTTTTTAAAATTCATAGTGGCAATGGTAACATTGGTAATTGTAATAAAAATCTATAAGAAAAAAGCAATTTATTTTGGCAACACAAGGACAGTCTTGTATAAGTAGATCTAAAGTTGCTGAGCACTTTCTGTCTACCTTCTTTCTATTCATTTCCTTTCCAAGCTCTAGAACTGAGCTACGTAAAGTGATACATCTTGGGATTGTAAAAGAAATGTGGGTTTTTGAGCCAGAGAGAAGTGGGTTTGAAGCCCAGCTCTGCCATTTGCAAATTGCAAAATCTTGGCTAAGTTCTTTCCTCTTTCTATCTGGGCATCATGTTTCCTTACTGATTACAATGAAATGAGATAATAGCTCCACCTTTCAAGATTTTTTGAGAAAATTAAATTTCTACCTGGACTTGTTTCTCCCTCCACTCTGCCACCCAAATACTATCTGTAGGACAAGGGCCAGGTCCAAGGCCTTTCAGAATGTCATCACAGTTCTATCTTTATAACTCCATCTCTGATCCCCACTATCTTCTATTCCCCCACAACCACATACTGCCTTTCTGCACTATCTTTTATGCTCATGTAAAACCAAAATGATTTTAGCTCTGCCAAACACATCATGATATTTCATGGCTCTAGGCCTTTCTACATACTATTCGTTCAACTTGGACTAGTCACCTCTCATTCACAGTCTCTCTGGATGGTTCTTGTTCATCCATAAAGCTTGACTCAGTTTTTACAAAGATTAAATGAAAGAATACAGGCTACGTGCTCAGTAGTGTGACTGGCATGTAGTAAGAACTCAGTACATGTTAGCTCTCTCTCTCTCTGATACAAACCCATTCCTTAAAATTAAATATGCTCTCTCCTCTGTGTAACTGTACCATATGCAATCTTTTCATATATCCCATTTTATTGGAGAGAGGCAATATAGATGGCATAGTGAGTCTCATATGAGACTCATTCTGAGTCAATTCCAATCCTAGCTCTCCACTTAACTTACTCAACTTTGAGCAGATAATGTAAGCTTCATGACCTTCATCTCTCTATCAGGGATAACATTATTTACTTTTCTGGGGGCTGGTTGTAAGAACTAGAATTAATGGCTTCATGGTACATGGTCCATAAAAACCAGCTACTCTTGTATACCATTGAAATCAGCTATTACTGCTATTGTTATACTAATATTATATAGTGATATTCCTCCAGATCACTCTGAATGGGATCCAAAAATAATAATTCTAAAAATATAGATTAGGGGTTTGTGCAGTTAATTTTTAGTGTAAGTGAGTTCAAAGCCAGGAATGAAATTGAATATTCAAGTGTGTTATATCTGAATTTACTTTGTTGCAGAGTGCATTACTGTGGGGTTCTACTGTATTATTGTTATTACTATTAATTATTTCTATCATCATTATTATGTAGTTTCTTATTTACTATTAGTTCCTTAAGTACAACCCCATATAATTTTCAGCCTAATCTAGAATAGAGATTAAGAGTTGAACTGCTTGGGTTCAAATTCCAGCAATATCATCTAATTCTATGATCCTGGGCACATTACTTTAACTCCCTAAGTCTTGATTTCCTGATTTTAAAAGAAGGATGAGAATCAAAGGGGCTGAGGCACATAACACAATCTGGCACCTAGTAAGTGCTCATTTAAGTTTAGCAATATACCATCATCATCATCTTGTTATCACCATCATTATGACTATTGTTATTATTGACCACAGCACCTATCAAAAAGCCTGCTTACATAGTAGGCACTCAGTAAAACTTAGCTTAAAATTTTATCAAATCTCCTTAAAATTTGGAAGTTGTCATTTAGGTTAGCTTCCCAATTACAGGCTCCATCCCCTTACAGGCATCTCCAGATGGCTGGGTGTGAAAGGATCACTCTATAATTGGCCTGAATTCCCCCAAGTCAGTCATTTTCTCAGCACTATACTGAGGGCCCGAGGCCCTCTCACCCAGCTACCTCTCCTTCCTCCACCTTCTTCCACCAGAACTGGCCAGCCTCGGAGAAGTTGGCTTTTGTCTGTCTCTCCCACCAGCCATTGCCAAGGATGGCAGCCAGTCCTTTATTGGAGCCAGGTGGAGCTGGCAAAGCCAGCTGTTGCCTGCCTTGTGTTGCCTGGACTTGTGGATGCCAATCTTCCTCTTCCCTGGCTCAGGATAAATTTTTGGCATCTTTGCTCTTTTCTGCAAACCCCAGGCATGGGGTCCCAATACTTGGGATTTTCCTTGTGGGAATGGCACCATTATGAAAGTGATAATCCTATCATTCATTTACCTACATTCACTTGTATGTTTAACTGAAAGTAGATTAATGTAAATGAGATATGGCATGCTATGTCCTCTGGAACTCAAGGAAAATAAATATACAGATTCAATAAAAGGAGGAGGAGGCACCCACTATATCTAAACAAGTAACTTCGAGGTCTAGGTGCCTTACACTGAATCCTGTAACTCTGGGCACCACTTCTAGGAAGTTTCCATTTGTAATTATGCTGAGCTACTAGCCGATTGATCTCTCTTTAGAGGGGAAGTGGAAAAACAGAACTTAAGTGTTTTCAGCATTCAGCTCTCCTAACTGCTACAGCCACGGCAGGCTTATCTGGCGGGAGCTAGCAGGAAGCCTATAACCGCTTCATCCTAACTCTCCAAATGCTGGCAACAATTAAATGAATTCTTAAGAAGAGAATCAAAAAAGCAGGAGGCAAAATGAATGGCTTATCCAAGTGCTGAGGAAGGAGAGGCTGTGTATTCAAGATGGAAAGAATATAAATACACACACACATGCATATTATGTTACATATCTATAAAAATGTGAAATGTTATTTATTTTGAGAATACCCAGTCATTTCCATCTGTAGTAAGAATCCATAATAACATTCTCTGTTTATATAACTCTTTTCACCTCAAGAGATCCCGAATGCATTTCAGACAGCTCTATATACAAACAGAGGCCAGGAGCTCCGCCATCTCTGAAACTGGTGGTGGGAGCCAGGCAGGAAACGCGTGTGCGGCTGCATTCATCTTGGAGACCACTGATAGGAGAGGGGAAGAGTTGGCCAAGGACAGCAGGACAACCCCCACATTCTTAAAACAGAGTCAGAGGGGTCTTCAAAGCCTGGGTGACACCTCAAATTTTGATAGCTAATTAAGAAAAAAAGCTGAGGGGAACTCCATTTATTTACTTTGCAGGGATGAAGGATGGTGCAGGGCAGGGCAAGGTTAGTTAAGCAGCGACTCCGGGAGTGCAGATAAATCTGAGGCATAGATCACAAAGTCTTCCCTCTAGCTTATATATTCCTATTATGAACACACTGATGATGGGAAGACATATTACAAAGGTAATATATGTTGATTCATTTATGCCCATGTTTTCATCCACAATCTGCTTTCTCAGAGAGGACGGACTGGATCACCTGGAATCCAATTTCTTTTTCTTTTACCAATTCAGTCCACAACAGTTGGTCTGGCTTCCACATAATTCTCATTTTTTAAAAATGAGAAATAAGACGACAGCCATGAGTCACAGGAATTCACACTTCAGAAACCAAAGCCTGACAGAAGAGTGTATTTCTACACGGCCCTCAGAGTAACGTTTGGGAAACTTCTGAGTATCCAGAAAATAAGCTGGAAAGTGCCTAGTCCCTGCCCAAAGAAAATACTACCAACCAAGTGCTCAGGACTGCCCTCGAAATCCTTAAATCTCGTTTGTCTGATTTACAAATGGAAAAAAATATGTCCCTGGTGACACAAGTAGGAGATGGAGTGAAGGGATACGTCTCACTGTGGAGAAAGAAAAGAGATTCTGGTGGCTACGTGGCCTGCCCTCAGCACTTGGAAGCCTTCCTTTCCTTCCAGTACCTTACTGCTCCCAGTGCATTATGATCCTTCCACTGAGGCCTCTCACACCAGAAAAGTCCAATCTCTGAGCAAAGCCAGAAGCTCGATCTCTTTGCTGTCTCAGACATTAGCTCTTCTAGGTTGTATAACCTCAGGGACCTCCCACATAAACTCAGCAAACAGTATGTGGAGGGGCATAGGGAGACTGAATTCCTTAGGGGCTTGCATTTGAAGCTGGGAAAGATGTAAAAATTACCTGGTGCTGGAGACAAGCCTCACTAGGACTCTTTGGTGCTGTTGCCTGAAAAGGGTCACAGAGGGAGAAATCGCAGGGACACAAGGCCAATAGGGGCCTTCTAAAAAGTTTTTGGGAAAATCTTCCCTTCCTAAAAACATGCCTCTACTTGCTGGCAGCCTGAAAGAATCCTAATTGAAACAGTTTAGCACATTCACAGTAGTCCACTTTAAGGCAATGCATCTGTAGATGTTGCACTGGAATCTCAGGTGACCTCAATGAGGTAAGTAGAGTAGAAGTCTTACAAACTAGGAAAGTGAGGCTTAGACAAGCCAAATGACCTAATTACCTCCAGAGCTGGAGCTGGAACCTTCTTACTGCAGAATTTCAAGTTCTTCCTATTGTACCTCGCCCAAAGTTATAATCAGCAGGCAGGAGATCAAAATGGTTTTCCCACTGAAATATCTATGATAAGCCCAGTGTATCACACTGACCTTTGGAACCTTCAGCCTTCATCTCTCTGTTCTCCTGAATAGGGACTAGGAAGAGGGGAGAGACTACAAGGTTTATAAGGACAAATAACAGCGATTTTGTTTCCTCTCTGCAGTTCTCATTTAGCTCCTCCTTGCTACTCATCACATCATCCAAACACACATTGGGACAAAAATAGAAAAGGAGACACTAACATAGGTAAACAGATGGATTGATGGATAAAATTCATTTAAAAATATTATATTGGATAATATTTTAATTCTGATGAGTTATGAAGAATGTTTTTAAATCCTTGTAAATAACCCCCAAATGGAAAATACGTTATTTTCCTTTGGTAGGACAAGGAAGGTTCATGTAATAAAAGGTTATAGAGTTCAAGCCTATACAATTATCAAAGTACTAGAACAAGAGCGTATTTCCTGAATTTTGGAAGATGTTCTTCAGAAACAATAAAGGGACTACTCAGTTTCACACTAGTCAGTAAACCTTGGAACTCACTCCACCAAGCAAGTGTAGGGTTTCAGATAAAGGCTGAATATAGCAGCAAGTTCAAGGACAGTTTGGAGACTTTCAGGCATGGCAGGAACTCAGTGGGGAGCTGGAAAGTTTGAAGAATGCCTCCAATTTTTCTCAGCGATGGATGGTAACTGTGCTTTCTACAACAGGTTTCTTGCTGCCCCTATCACAGACAACCCAGGGCCACATAAAATAGCAAACAGGCCCAATGTGACATATTTTTGAATATGGAATGTGTCACAGTGTTCTTTTTCTGGCTTCGAGGCAGATTTCACTCCCTGTTCTGGATTGTTCTGCAGCTGTTGGCAGTGCTGACCATAGGAATATTATCTTGAGAAAGATTTTCTTCAATGGAATGGGATGGGAACTTGGAGCATATTTAGAAAATATATCATGCATGCATCAAATGGAAGTTTATTCCAGAGAATCATAAAATAAAGGCAATGGAATGATCTTCAAATACCAGAACTGCCAAACGGAAGAAGGGGTGTATCTATCAATATAGACCAGGCTTGCAATACTAACAGAAAACCTTAAAATTTCAGGGACTTAAAACAACAAAGTTCTTTTTTTCCACCCTCACTAGCACTACCTGTCCATCTCTGATCTGAGGTGAGGTGAAGGTGACAGTTGAGACAGTCAACACACTCAGGCACACAGGCTGAAGGAGCCTCTGTTTTCTGTAGAGTCCTTTTCACAGAAAGGAAGAAAAGAGGCTAATTGTTCACTTCACACTGATTCTCACAAGTTTTTTCTGAAAATAACCTATCCCTTCTGTGGCCATTTTGTTGGCTGATGCAAGTCAATCTGTCATGGTTAACTTTAAAGGTTTAGAGAAGGTGAAATTCTACCACATCCAAAAGGAGGACAAGAAATATTAGTGAACACCTTATGAGCTAACAGACGCATATTTCTTCATTTGGCTTGAGGTGGCTGAGCCAATACCATTGTGTGTAAGGTGCAGGGAGCAGGTATTAAGAAAAGGAAGAGCTTCCATATAGCAGTGAATTCCTTTTCATGTGTTGTATTTTAAGAAAAGCATAAAGACTTTCACTAAGAAATCCCAAATATCTACAGAAGCCAGGTAGGTGGCATAATATGTGAATCATCCAGGAAAAAAAAATACATGTTAAACATATGGAAATAATCTATGGTTCCATAAAGACATTTGCTCTCTCCCATGTTTCTTGTTTCTTCATAAATGGAGACTTCTCAATAGACTTTTGAAAGGGACAGAAGAGTAAAGGGACATTCATTTACTTCTAAACAAAAACTGAGAGAGGAATGATAAATGGTGGCTGACACCCAGCCTTAGCCCATGAGCCAAAAGAGAATGGAGAAGACAGAGGAAAACGAGAGTAAATGCTCCATGGAAATGGGAGTACAACTCTAGCTGATTGTTGCCATGTGGAGAGGCAGGACTGATGTGGCCAGATTTTCCAATTTTATTTTTTAAGAAAGGTCAGAATTCTTGATGTGCACATGCAACCTCTCATTTTTAAATGTTGGTGCAATTATTTTCAAAAGACACTCTCTGTGCCAAACAAAATATGATGTAGGCTACACTTGGCCAATGGCCCACTAGTTCGTGGCTTTTGCTGGAACGAACAATTCTGTTATAAGTGTGGGTGTGGAGGGAAATGGGGAATTATATGGTCTCTAAGATCTTCTTGGAAGCTCAATAAATAGCACCCCTTTTCCTGAATTCTAAAGCAACTAAAAAAATAAGACAAAGAAGTAAGCAGATGGGGGCCAAATTAGAACCTTACTTACTGAAGAAAGCAAGGTTGGGAGAGATGTGCAGCTGAGTTTCCTGGAATTAGACTCTAATTTCCAAGACCACTGGGTCAGGCCTCTCATCCCTCCTTTCCTTACCTCCTGCATACACCTAGAGGATGTATGCTGTCTATGGGCAGCTAGTTCCCTAAAGAGAGAAAGACAGGAAAAGGGATAGAGCTGCCCATGTTTAGTTTCTCCTTCAAGACTCTGCCATCAGATCGATAACTCATCTCTCCTCTCACTAATAGGGGTGGGTTAATGAAGGGGTTGTTAGAGTCCAGGAGTGTTTCATATACACAATAGCAATGGGGAAGACAGGATCTCCCACAACAGTTATTTCCATCCAAGGCCACCTCTAGCGCACAGTATATCTTTGTGCAAGTTACAAAAAGGCACTCCACCCTGGCAGATGAATTGCAGAATGGCCCTTTCCTCTCGGCTGATGCAGCCCCAGGCTGGGGCATGCAGCTTGGCAAGCAGTACCAGGGCTAGATTCCAGCTCACACTTGCCTACTCGGCCTGGTGCCTAAGTACAAAAACCCACAACTGCCCATAGCAGCCTGCTTCAGACTCTAATAATCCTATCAATTTGATTCCAGATTCTTCAGTCTCCGAAGAAACCACATTGTGAATGGCACCCACTCACTGTCCACCTCAAACAGTTGGAATTAATATTGGTCCAGGCTGTGTCAAGTTTGTGAACAGGGTGGAGTGGAGGAACGGTTGGCTCCCTGGTGTAGCCTGTGGCTGTTTTATTACTATTGTTTTCTCAATTCACAATCACTAAGTTGGTAGAAATTTTCAAAGAATGAACAGACATTTTTTCAGCATGTCAGAATTTAGTGAGGCTATAATCATTTCTTCACAATGTTTTTCACTAAGGAATATATTAAGGGAGACATTGTTTTAAAAGTTTCCATGTACAACTGTGGCTTGTCCCAAATTCTTTGTATTCAAATGTCAGACTATAATTGTTGGTTAGCAGCAAGGTTACCAGATGAGTTATAAAATGCATTTCAAATGAATATCAGAAGGACTTAAAAAAATACAATTAACAGCTGGTGTAGTTAAGGCACACTACAGTCTCACTGTAAAAAAATGATAATAATAATACAATCTTCATTAGAGTTGAGCACATTTCTGTGTCCATGATATAACATCTTTATTTCTAGAGTTCAACTCAAGAAGGAAGAAAGACATGGCACTCTAATGAAACAAAACAACAGGGGGACCTCCTCTTTCGGCTTTGGAGCCCCCCTCCCTCTGTCTCTGTACAAGGGAGCTTCTTCCTTCTGTCTTCTCCCTTCACTTCTTGCCTATTAAACTCTCTGCTCCTTAAAACCACACACACACACACAAAGAAACAAAACAATAAAAACAAGTGGAAAATTCTGCCTATCGGAGGTGAGAGACATGCCCAAGAAGTGGAAAGCTGAATGAAAAACCAAGAATATTTAATTCAAGCTGATCTCTCCGTAACATTTTATAACCAGGGAAATGCAATCAGCACTGTCTCCCGAGAAACCCACACAGGATGTTAGGCTTCTAAATCGCTCATATTTCTACTCAAGCCAGGTGCTTTAGAAAAAAAAAGTTCAGTGTTATTTAGTTGGAAGTTAGTTCTTTCCTCAACCACACTGCCAACTAACAGGATTCCACATTTTTACCAACCTATTTCCAGGTCACTGATGTGTTTTAAGAAAAGAAAGCAGACATAGCCATCTGGTTAATCTGTAAAGGCCACTCTTTTAAAACTGTTTGAGACCCATCCATTCATTCATTCAATACTTATCAAGCATCTCTAAAGGGTCATGAAAATAACTGCTTCATCAGCCTCACCTCCCTTCCTCTGTGAGCACAAAGTATGCAACCAAAGTTGCTCTTCTGTCTAGTTTAAAATTCTCACATATTTTCTCAGTCAGATGAGCAAGTGACACATTTATTTACCCTCTAATAACTCATTGAAGAAGAAACAAGCAAACAAGCAAATAAATCCACTCCATTCCACATCTAATTCTATGTGTGTTTTTTATAAAAAGGATAATATATATTTATGATTATCGCTTCCACCTTAAAGTAGAGAGAGATATCCTGAATATAGGGAGGGGTTCCCTGCAGGGAGCAAGAGCAAATACACCCCTGTTCTCAACTGGGGTTACACTAATCTTAGGCAGAAGGCTGCGGCTGTGCCCTCTGGAATCGTGCATATGGGTTTCTTCATTTCTCCCTCTGACTCTATTTGGAGACCTAAGGGGTAGAAAGCAGCCCCACAGATAAATATCCCTAATGTAAGATGCCCATGACGATGAGCTTGCTTTCTCTTCTTCTCTCTTCCCTCACAAAGATAACAAACAGAGGAGGAACGCGTGGCACATGGGGAAGTGGAGTTAAAATGTACTGCACGTTACTAATCCTAACATAACATTGGCAGCTTGCACCATCCCCCTGCCAAACCCAAATTAACACACTGCCTTACTGGAAGGCAAAGGCTGCAGCTATATTTATAGCTCAATTAACAAGTTTCATAACTAAACCTCCAGAAGTCCTAGGCAAACCTGACAAATGCTATGCATCTTAACACCACGGTGACCCTGCCAGAATGCCACCATCTTCTAACGGGGAACAACTCCTGCTATCACCTTGCGAGAACAATGATGATTGGCACTGGCCCATCTGATAAAGGGAGGCTGGCTGGGCAACTCAGCTCTTGTCAGGGGTACGTCTCATCACAACTCTCAACCAACACACATACGGTCGATTCAAGCAGGCGGCTAATTCTTCCTTTTGCAGATGATGGAAATGCCTGCTTCCCGGGAGCCAATGGCTGTGGAGAATGACTGCCATCTTATGACTCAGGAGCCTTGGTCCTTCCGGGAACAGAATAACAGAAAACACAGAGTACGTCACTTGGAGGGTGTTATAGCTTCAAAAGAAATAGAAAACCTCTTCATAATATCTTCTAAGCAGGTTATTTTTGCTAGAGGGAAAAAGGTTCTTCAGAGGATTATTAGTGCACAGACAGCACTGTTAGGGTACAGTAAAGTATTTTTAATATGGCACTTGACTTGGAGCAAACTGCCTTCAGAGTCCGGGTGGTCTTTCCTTTTCTTCAGGAATAACATGAATGCTCGCATGTCACAGTGCATTGTGATAATTTGCCTGCATGCCTGGCTCCTGCATGGGACTGTGAGCCCTGGGATGGAGGAGCATTCTGCCACCTTATGTCCTCCAAGAAGTAAGCAGTAGTGAAGTTCAGCATTTGTAAATGGGGAAATAAATACATGGATGAATAAATTAATAAACGGGCCGGGCGCAGTGGTTCACGCCTGTAATCTCAGTATTTTGGGAGGCTGAGATGGGTGGATCACCAGAGGTCAGGAGTTCGGGACCAGCCTGTCCAATATGGTAAAACCCCGTCTCTACTAAAAATCTGCTCCCCCCCCAAAAAAAAATTAGCTGGGCGTAGTGGCAAGTGCCTATAATCCCAGCTACTTGTGAGGCTGAGGCTGGAGAATCTCTTGAACCCGGGAGGCAGAGGTGGCAGTGAGCTGAGGTAGCATGACTGAACTCCAGCCAGAGTGACAGAGCAAGACTCTATCTCAAAAAAAAAAAAAAATAATAATAATAATAATAATAATCAACAATGCTATTCTCCCACACACTATCAGAACTTAATAATTCTGCAAGCCTCTGGCTTTAATTTGCAAGCTGGAGTTACATGTACTCCATGCACCATCCTCACACCTTCACATTAACCCAAACCCATCTCCAGCTACCTCTTTCATAGCTCTCCTCCTTATTAAGAGCTTGTTATTTAGGTTACAGAAATTTGGAAAAACACATACCAGCACAAAGAAGATGAGGGGGTGGGAAAGAGAAAAAAGAAAGAAATTTGGAAAAACACAATTTGCCGGTCAGGGTCCCCAATCCATTTCTGCTATTGAAAACCCTTGACTACCAACATGGGGGAGAAGCAGATGGACAAGCATGAACACTGCTTAATATATTCAGGTACATAACCGAACTTTAGTTTTCCTGTCTGTTTACAAAGGGCTTAATCTAGAATTATCTTTAAGTGCCTTTTTAACTTTAAAATATTATTTTTTTCTGCCATCTATTCATACACATACATATTAATGGCATATTTATTTGTTCTCCGTTGCTTCAGAAAAGATGATTGGAGAAGCTATTTTTATTTAACACACCAAAACTTCTGAATGGAGAGAGCCCACACTCTTTTGGTCCCCTTTGAGCTCTCCTTGCTGGACCTTCTATTCCTATTCACAAGCTATTCTTTCCAAAAAACACAAGTAGACCACTTGCTCAGGACACCCTTGTGGCTGCTGAGAAAATATCTTAAAAGCTGCAAGCACAAGATAAAGAGGGTAGGACAAAGTGAAGTGCTGTCCTCGAGGCTGATGGGAGTAAGACTGAATACATTCTGCTAAGGTTCCAGGGTCTACTGCCTATTCCTGCTTCTCCAACAGGACCTGGAACAAAGATGCCTTTGAAACAAAGACAACAAAGAGGTGTCCACTGAACAAATATGGCATCCACTGAACAAATACAGCCCTAGCATATGTTTAGTGAGCCAGGTAATGTGTAGCCGCTGTTATAGATATCGTTTTAATAGGAGTTCAAATAAATGCCTTTGGGTGGGTCATGTACTGCGCAGTTTATCACTGACCCTCATCACTCACTATGTCTTACACCCCAATCTTTTCATTTATTCTGGGCACTGGTTCTTTGCTAAACTCACTGTATCTGTCTTTTCCCACTAGTATAGAATGCTAAGTCTCACAAGTGTAAGTTACTCATCTGTTTGTTCACTTTTATGTACAGTGCCTAGAAGAATGGATGGCTCATTTTAAGTCCTCTATACATATTTGTTGAATAAATTTATGAAATTCCCCTACCAAATGCTCCCTCTCAAAGCTCCCTCATTCTCTGTTCATACCACCACAGAAGCCTTAATTCGACAAACATATATTAAGCATTAGACATGGATCCAAGTACAGAGGATACTGAGATTAATAATCCAAAGTTCCTTGTCTCAAAGGAATCAGACACAATCATTTTCAAGAATCAGACACAATCATTAAAAAAATAGCTTTAATGAAGGAGATATATTAAAAATGCCTTGGAAAGAATGCTAGAGAGCAGGGTACATTTCTAATTTGCCTCAGGGATAGTAGAAGTTCATTACCTAGACAGGAGAGGGAGGGCTTTCCACATAGAGAGAATGGGCTAGGCTAAGTTACAGAGCTGTGAAAGTACACATGCTCCAGCACAGACTATTTAGGTAGAAAAGAGAGCACAGTGGAGGGGTGGCTGAGGTGACACTCAAGACGCATTGTGAATCCAGGACTGTGAAGACAATCACAGGCCAAGCTGAGGAGTTGAGATGCCATTCTACAGGAAAAAAATATATTGAAGTATTTCAAACAAGGGAGTGCCAGAAAGAGAATGATGTCATACAAAGTTACTCCAACATTGATTCAGAGAGTAGGCTGGCATGAAGATCTGTCAGGAGGTTTATACCACAGCCCAGGGGAGAGGTGCTGAGCCTAAGGGAAGACAGGAGAAGTTGAGTTTCTCTTGGGAGAAATTTATGAAAGAGAAATTTTGAAGACAGAATTAACAAGGATTATAAATCATTCTCCTATAAAGACACATGTACACGTATGTTTATTGCAGCACTATTTACAATAGCAAAGACTTGGAACCAACCCAAATGCCCATCAATGATAGACTGGATAAAGAAAATGTGGCACATATACACCATGGAATACTAAGCAGCCATAAAAAAGAATGAGTTCATGTCCTTTGCAGGGACATGGATGGAGCTGGAAGCCATCATTCTCAGCAAACTAACACAAGAACAGAAAACCAAACACCGCATGTTCTCACTCATAAGTGGGAACTGAACTATGAGAACACATGGACACAGGGAGGGGAGTGTCACACACTGGGGCCTGTTGGTGGATGGGGGGCAAGGGGAGGGAGAACATTAGGACTAATACCGAATGCATGAGGGGCTTAAAACCTAGATGATGGGTTGATAGGTGCAGCAAACCACCATGGCACATGTATACCTATGTAACAAACCTGCACGTTCTCCACATGTATCCCAGAACTTAAAGTAAAATAAAAATTAAAAAAGAAAATAGAATTAACAAGTGACATAACAATTAAGGACAAAAGAGAAAAGATGAGAGTCGAGCAGGGGCCTGAGGTTCCTGGCTTGGGAGAGAAACTGGACAAATGATGTTGCTAATGAGGGTAAGACAGAAGTAATCAGCAAGACCACGGTCACTGCACTCTCAGCATCTTGGTCCATGATGACCTTTATTAAGGAAGTTTCAGAAAAACGAGGGGATAAAAATAAGTGCAGTGGACCAAAGAATGAATGTGATATGAAGAATCAAAGGCTGGCAGAACAAGGTGTCATTTATTTATTTTTCCAAAAAACTTGGTAAAGAGAGATTGGGGTGGGTGGGCAGAGCAAAGATTTTTAGGACATTGAGACTCTTCTGTATAACGCTATAGGAGGACACATGTCCAAACCCACAGAATGTACAGCACCAACAGTGAAACCGAACATCAACTATGAAATTTGGGTGACAATGATGTGTCCTTGTAGGCTCACGGATGGTAACACATGTACCTCTGTGGCACAGGACATCGAAAGTGAGGCAGGTTCCGCATGTGTGGGGACAGGGGTACACGGGAACTCTTTGTACTTTCTGCTTAATTTTGCTGTGAACTAAAAAACCTGCTCTAAAAAATAAAGTTTATTAATTTTTAAAAAACTGAGATTCAAGAGAAACAAAGTGATATCTTGAGAGGAAATCAAAGTCAGGAAAGATAATGGTATTTTCTCCTTCACGGAATGAGAGTATACATGCACTTGCATGTAAATATTTTTAGGCTAAGTACTCTAGGAGGAAAATATTTGAGAGAGAAAATACAGTTGGTGCAAAAAAGTCCTTGGGAAGGACTTAAAACAGTGCCTGGTTAATGGTCATTGCTCAGTAAATGTTATGTCATTATCATTACTATAATAACCATTACTTTTTTCTTTATTGTATAGTAATTTAGGTCACTGCCCCAGCTCACTAACGAGACCATTAGCTCATATAGGAAGGGTTGTGGCTGCTTAGAGTATGTGTTCCTTATAAGCACTTTGTACAATTCTTTGAACAAAATACTCACTCATTGATTCAGTCATTCAACATATTGAACAGATGACAGAATTAGAAGCTACTTCAGCTAGTCTTTTTGGCTTCTTCCTTTATTTCAAGTGTATTTTAAGCATTTTTATTCTTACCTTTGAAGTACCATATAAATGAGTATTAAGCAAATGTCTCTGGCCTCTCAGATGGCAATGCTGAACTTGTAGGTGTCAGGATGAGACATTCAGCCACAAGTAACATAATTACAAGCCTGGAAGAAGGAGATTGAGGGCACTAGTTGGGTAGGATCAGAGACTCCATAATGACATCAAGATTGGGCTCCTTCTGATTTATGACACATGCTGGTCTCAGTACTGGCTTTATCCAGAGACTGCTCTCCTTCAGCAACACAAGATGGCTACAGTAGTGTTATTACTCACATCCAGAGAACAAGATACCATTGCTTCCTGGGTACCTTTCTGGTGAGAAATAACCTTTCCAAAAGACCCCCAACAGACTTCTCTTACATTTACTGGTCAGAATTATGTCATATGCCCAAACCTCACAGCATTTTCAGTAGCAATGGGGAACAGAACCATTGCTTTAGAACAATCAGGGGCCACCCCTTGGGAAGAGAAGCAACCTTTTCAGGAGTAGATGGTCTGGGGAGGACAGTGGATTCTGGAATAAACAGGTCTGTCTTTGGACGGATAAAGGCCTGAGGTGGAGCAGAGAAATGGATGTTAGGTAGGCAGTCAACAGTGTTCATCAGACTTGAATCAAAGCTAATACAGTGTAAGGGGATAAAATGATATAAAACCTAAGATTTTATGTCTTATGTGGACATACAGTTTGCTTCTGAAAGTTACTCCATGAGCAAATAGATGATATAGCAGTGAAGTCATGAGCAGGTAAATAACTACTTCAAGTTTCAACCAGGTGATGTGAGAAGGGCATTGTGAAAATCCTTGGAGATCACTGCATACATTTCTCTGCTGTCTCAGTACAGATTAAATGATACAGAGAGAGAGATTCTTCATCCACTCCACTAACATTAGAGTATCTGTCTTGTGTAATATCTAATACCAAAATCTGGAAATAAATACTAATAAATAAGGTTCCCTTCACTAAAAGAGAAAGGAATCTAGAAGAAAAGACTAATGACCGAACAAGTAACTGTAATATGTGTTTGTAGATGCATGATAACTGTAAAACACACAGTCTAGCACAAAATCAGTCAGGGTCAATTTTATTTGAGGGCAGGAAGGATTTCATAAAGGAATGCAGTGTTTGAACTGGGTCATAAAAAAAAATCAGTTGCAAGGGGCTGGAAAGGGCATCCCGAAACGAAGAAATATTACAGCCAAAGGTGGAGAAGCATGGACTAGTATTCTGCTCCCAGGAAATCCCAAGTGGATCTGGATGGCTGGAAGGAGTGCAGATGGAGGTAAGCCTGGAGATTTTGGCAGGAACTGGATGATGGTGGGCCTTTTTGTGTTGTATATAAATTAAGATTTTATGTAATAAGTACCACTGAACACTTAACAAAGTGAATAGGTATTTTTAAATATCACTGGAAGCTAGGTCAAAGGGGGACTGGAATGAGAACAAGACTAGATGTGGGGTATTCAGTTTAGAAGTTGCTTCAATAGTTCAGGCATAAGCATGATACTACTTGACCCAATGTAATAACGAAGAGACTAGAGAAGGATGAGAAATAAAATACTTGATGAAACTCACTAAAATCTGAATGTGGAAGAAGAAATGAAGGAGTCCAGGATGATTGGATAGGTGAAAGTATAATTAATCAGGATGGAAAAGACAAGATGAGAATTTCAAACAGAGGGCAATCAACTTATGCAGATTTGCCCGGGACTTTCCGAGTTTTAGTAATAAAAGATCTATATCCTGGGAAATCCTTCAGTTCCAGGCAAACCAGGATGATTGGTTACCATGCAAGGAAAAGTAAATTTTGAGGAAAATTTGATAAGTTCAGTTTGGAAGATAATGGATTCCAAACCTACTATACAGTAGAACATTTAATTTTCATCTACTTGGCCCCTAAAAAGATGGCCAGTTCAGTGAAAATTTAACCAGCTAGCATTCACTACGTCCCTTCAAAAAGGTGTTTGTAAAACAGTCTTCCATATTTCCATTCTATCTTGTAGATACCACCATCCAGCTTTCACGTATTTAATCTGGGAGACCCTGACACAAGTGGTTAAATGGTCTTTCTCCACTGGGGTTCAGAGGCTACAGATAGAACATAACGGATGATTGATGGACACTTTTTGAGTCATTTATGCAAATTACTAAAAAAATCCTTAAAGAAATACATAGTATTGTAACCCATGGTCATTTCTATCAAAGGAGCTACCATCTGTTCTTACTGGCTACAAAATCATTATTCATCACAAATCAGAGTGCTTCTATGCCTTATTAATCTTTCTACCACAAAGCCATACCTAAACTGTACATATATAAGCACGCAACAATTCATTGCAAAAATGAATTGCATTAAGCACATAAATGTACATATTATGCTTATTACACATTAAATCAAAACAGCTATGATTTCTAAATTCCTTTACCTTTTTTCAATAAGAATTTGAAAACAGTAAATAAATAAATTTTAGGTTTGAACAAGTTTGAGTGGATTGTAAACATTCAGTTTAGTTTCATGAAAAGCCAAAAAACATCATGACAAAAAGGAGGTTCCACTGAATACATTTGTTTGTGCTTGAGACCAATATTGTCCCACCAACAGTGTGCTCTATAAATTGACCCAGTGTTCTGAGAGTCCCCAAATGCCTTGTTTAAAACAATGGGGCAGACATTGAGGATGGTGTTCAACTTTTAACTTAGCAATTCCCACTACTGATTTAAACCAGACCTTTAGTGTTATTTTAACATAGGTTTTGGATTTAATTATCTTAAATGTCTAAAAGAATGCATACAATTCCCAAACTGTTTATCTCTTTTATGGTAAAATCTCTTCCCCTATCCCTGGAAATCTGTTTTAATTATTTAATCAGTTTGGCTGAAACTCACAAAGCATTAAATTGTTAGTTGTTACTTAAGATTCCTTATAAATTGCATTTATTAATTTCTGGATAGAGACTTGTCCATAGCTACAGTAATTTAAATTAGTACCACATGGCTACAGACTGCTGCTGAATGATGATTAAATCTTTGGGGCAAATTCAGTCTTTTAAGATATTTAAATGGTACTAGAGATAAGCTAACCAAATTTGGGTCCAAGAAGTTACAATTTATCAAAAATGTAATAATCCATGGCCAGAATATTCATCGTAAGCAGCACATAATGTGGTCCATGAAATGACATTTTATCATCTCTCTCACTGTGGTCACAGGGAAGACTGCTGACGGTGCAGACACAGCAATGCTCCATTGATATTTAACAATTCCCATCTACAAAGTACTTTGCAATATTGTGGCTTTTCATACACTCAAGTCCCCCTGACACTCTATCAGTCATTTTGTTATTTGACACAGTGACATATTCTGTTCTTGGTGTTTTATCTTCACAGGTGCAAACAATCAACACAGTACACAGTCCTTCAGAATCTTAACAACAGAAGGAGGAGCCGTTGGGCCTTGGTGGCATTTCAGAAAGGCAGGAATTGCTAGGGGAAATAGCTCTTCAGGGACTTGACTCTAAACTAGTTAGGTACAGATGACAAGGGGTGGCTCTGGTAGTTAAGTGTCCTATCACAGGTCACAAAAGTAGAGAGGGGCTCTAGAACTCAGGTTTCCTTACTTGCAATCCACAACTACTTCTTCAATACCTTTTACCACTACTGACTTTACTCAACTGATACATTCCTAGACCTAAAACTTGCTTGGATCATTGATTCAAGGGAACCCACTGGGGAAATCAAGTGATACAAATGAAATCTCTTCTTGCTTCCAAATCCTTAAAAAATTAGAAAAACAAGAAAAGGGAGATAGGCAGGGGTTAGGGGAGCCCATAAGTGCCTCCTACTGGAAAGACTGACTGAAACACTCAGGTAAAATAGCAAAATCAACTCATAAAATAATAGATTCATCTTCCTGCAGCTAAAGATAAATATTAAATAATCCTGGGTGCTGCTGGCTGAAAATTAATTTCTGTAAGGCAAATAGTGTAGTACGTATATGTGTTTCAATTTCTGTTTGGCAAGGTGCCTATTTTGAGCATCCTGCACAGACCTTTGAAGTACTTGGGCTGCTCTGATAACGCAGATGCTTAAACAAGAATTGCTTCCTTGAGGCTCCCAAGCACTGTAAAAAGTGTGTTTTGGATTGTCAGGCTCCCAACTAATTCCAGGTATTCAACCTAAAAACACAACATCTTTTAACGCATTAATGATACATTGCAGCCCTTCCGAACTGAATTGTGCCAGAAGATAGGAGTGACATTAACTTATTAGAGGAATCACAAAGTGCTGAACCACTGCAATTTGTGTTCCCCAAATTACAGTCAGGTGCAGTCGCATGGGGCAAGTTGAAACGGGATACAGAGTGAGAAAAAAGTGCTTCAGATAGAGCTCTCTAATGATTAATTTACAATAGAAGGAAGGAACAAAGGGAAAATAATGCACTGTATTCTAAATCATGAACCTATTAGAGTCATCCTGCCTGTCTACTCTTATACCATCTGAGAGCCAAGACATTTTATCCCCCCAGTTGTTTTAATGGTGCTTCTTTAAAACTGGCATCTGGCAAATCACATAAAATGTCTTTAGGAAGCCAAAGACTGGCTCAGGACCACCTCCATAGAAACTTTCAGAAAGGTTAAAATAAAAACCACCAAAACACCACCAAAAATCCACAACATAAACTTTTTCAGAATTTCCCTCAAAGCCACAGTCATTATTTGTTTTAATCATAAACACGAATCCCTGGAAGAATCTGGTAGGAGCAAGGCGGGTACAGCATAATTTTCTGGACCAAATAAAGTGAGTTCTTACTAGTCATGGAAAGAAAAAAAAGTTGCTGAGGAGTATAAGAATGGAGCCACCCTCACTGCCAGTTTCTTTCTATAGAAAGATTTAGCAGAATTTTGCATTTACAAATGGGGCCATAAAGTAGGATGCCTCCCTTTGATAGTCTACCAATGCTCCATGCCTCTTTCCAGCAGAAACATGCAATCCAGCAAACTGACCAAATTCTAACATGCATCACTGCCCGTCTTCTCTGAATACCTCCTGGAACTTCATCTGGTCTTCATTCCATGTTGTAAATCAACATGAACTGTTGGAAAATTGCCCTTAAGGTGATTGTGTTTCAGTACTGAGCAACATGACTTCTGAATGAAGCTGAATGAAGACGCTTAACACACAGTGTGGCAGCTCCTGCCAGGCATGCAGGGAAGAGGCTCCGAGGTTGAATGTGAATGTGTCTCACAATTAGAGATGGGAAAGATTCCTGACTTCAGGGGAGAATACCAGGTGACACAGAGCTAAGAAATATTGTGTTCTTTTCTTTGCCTTTCTTTCTATGCTTGATTTATTTGTCAAATCAGTTAAGGAAAATGCTCTTTATCAGGCCAATCTTCCAGTTAATCCAAACCCTCTCACTCTACCCCACTCTCTCTCATTTCTCTGTCAGGGTTCAGGGCTACTTGAAGGTGCTGCCCACAAGCCCACCAATGATCAGAACTGCATTTCTTGTCACAGGGAAGAAAATATCCTTTTTTTCATCATATGATAAACATTCAAAATGCAAAGACCTCCATGGACTAACATAAAGTTGGAACGACTTTTGAAGAACAACTTTAATGGGGATGGGAATCTATGGCAGGGGGAGAAGGGTGGAAGAGATGGAAATAATAGCAGCACAGTTTCTGGAAAGGGGATAGAGAACAAGAGGGACCAACACGGGACAGGGGAAAGGGTGTAGAGAAGAGAAACTGCGGAATGCCTGAGATTCGTTTTATTCTTGTCAGGCCCAGATTTCTACTTTCTAATGACAATTTTGTAGATCTCTATGTTTCGTTTTTGAATAGCAATCTATTTAGAATTATCCAGCTCTATTTGGCCATCTGAACTTATTTTGCAACCTTTCTGGG
Source organism: Homo sapiens (assembly GCF_000001405.40). NCBI lineage: Eukaryota > Metazoa > Chordata > Mammalia > Primates > Hominidae > Homo > Homo sapiens. The sequence continues at coordinate 58,883,321 of NC_000002.12, read as the reverse complement.
TACATTTCATAACCTGATATTTAGTTAAGAGCCTAGGATTACTGGGCACTGTGTTAGGCACAAGGGACCTGGCTGGGAATGGAATCAACGTGGTTCTTGCCCCTCCAGATCTTCTGTCGCTATAACAGAACTTGGTAAGCATTATGGAAAGAGTCTCATGGGGTTAGGAAAGGAACCCCAGAGGAATTGAGAGCCAAGCTGAGACTTTCTTTTTTTCTTTTTTGTACCCAAGAAAATTTTATTTGGATTTTCACGTTATCTCTAGTCCATGTAAGTCAACATTCTCTGCATTTTGGTTAGCAGATATAAACTTTAGCCCTGCCTCTGCTAAAATTATAGCAAAACCTTAATTATGTTATATTGAACTATTAGGGTTGTACTTTAATGATGGTTTTCAGGTCAAATTCTTTTTAAAAATATTTTATTTTATTTTTTATTTTACTTTAAGTTCTGTGATACATGTGCAGAATGTGCAGGTTTGTTATATAGGTATACATGTGCCATGGTGGTTTGCTGCACCCATCAACCTGTCATCTAGGTTTTAAGCCCCGCATGGATTAGGTATTTGTCCTAATGCACTCCTTCCCTTTTCCCCCCATCCCCCAACAGGCCCCGGTGTATGATGTTCCCCTCCCTGTGTCCATGTGTTCTCACTGTTCAACTCCCACTTATGAGTGAGAACATGCAGTGTTTACTTTTCTGTTCTTGTGTGAGTTTGCTGAGAATGATTGTTTCCAGTTTCATCCATGTCTCTGCAAAGGACATGAGCTCATTATTTTTTGTGGCTGCTTAGTATTCCATGGTGTATATGTGCCACATTTTCTTTATCTAGTCTATCATTGGTGGGCATTTGGGTTGGTTCCAAGTCTTTGCTATTGTGAATAGTCGCACTGAGACTTTCATGACATGGAGAAACAAGTCTGATCATCTTTGTGAGTCTAATCTCAGAATTTCAAAAGTCAGTAATCTCCCTGCCCTGGCTCAGGGCACCATAACGAGGCAACTAAGAAAACAGGGAATATGCAGAGCTTGTCAGACAGCAGACAAGATAGTACATCATCAATCCTAGGAGGCCAAAGAAGACAATAGTTGTGGAGTGGGGTTTAAGGCTTGACTTTCTAAAATGTCCCAAGCAAAACGTGTGGCTGTGTCTTTGGGGACATAAAACTAATACTACTCATGCCCCTGTATACCCCTCTTCCTGGTAAAATGCCTTCAAAAAAAAAAAAAGCAGATGAAAGTGGCAGTAAATGTTTGATTTTCTCTTCTCCCTTGTGTGGCGTGGCACTGTGCTCACCCTATGCCTTGCTCTATTTGGTGATGTGGTTCCCAGGGTCCTGGTTCTATTGCTGCATCACCATGAATGGTAGTTGAGTACAAATGAGGTCTGTCAGAAGTGAAAGAACTTCAAAAAAGAATGTCACCAAAGTCTTTATTTGACATTTGTAGCTTAGGGCAAATCAAATGTCCAACTCTACATGGATGGATAAGCTTGATACAGAACAAGCTTGCAATAGCAGGGAATTAATCTGAACTCACACCTTCAGAAAGGGTTATTATTTATTACTATCTTTGACCATATTCCCATGATGCAGAATACTTTGAGGTGTAAAAATGCAATCATCCAAGAGCTTACTAGTCTCATGTCAAATATCTGTATGGTTAGGGGAAAAGTGAATATTTGCTGTTGTGCACAAAGTATCTGAGGGATGAACTGTTCACTTTTGTTTAGATAGGCTGTCTGTTACATGGGTTTAATTATTTTCCCCATTTGCTTTTATATGTACTTTCTCTCCTGTTGTGTCAGGGTTTTATTATTATTATTATTTTTAATCCCAGAAAAAAAGGGAAAAGATTCAATAAGGAAAAAGCACAAATGCTGTAAAAATCTACTATAATAATGTGTTCAGTAGGAACTGTGGTCATTGCAGGGTAAAGTTGCACACCTACTCATTCTTTTGTGATGATCATGTTTTTACTATTTCGAATTTAATACTTTTTCTAATATATTATATGTTACCTCCCATGTATTTAAGCTGTACTTAAAAGCATGCTAAGAACTGGTAATTCTTTAATGGTTGTTCACTTACAAGCGATTGTGGGTCATTACACAATCATTTAAAGGGCATTAATGAGAACCATTTAATGGTTTTAGTAGAATATCATTGTAAGGGACAGGGGAAAAGTTACTGGCTGTAAATTTTTATGACCATTTCTTACAAAACGTATTACTTTAAAGATTTATGTATGTAACAATGAGTACAATAAAAGCCATGCTAAAAATAATTTGAAATCAAAGTAATGCATATAGATAAGTCTTTGCTCTGCTGCCATTGGGTAGGCCTTTAAAAAAAAAACCTTCCTTTTCACCTTCCTTATCCTCTTTGTGTGTGTGTGTGTGTGTGTGTGTGTGAGAGAGAGAGAGAGAGAGAGACAGAGAGAGAGAGAGAGAGAGAGAGAGTCTTGCCCTGTTGCCCAGGCTGGAGTGCAATGGCACAATCTTGCTCACTGCAACCTCCACCTCCAGGGTTCAAATGATTCTCTTGCCTCAGCCTCCTGAGTAGCTGGGATTACAGGCACCCGCCACAACATCCAGCTAATTTTTGTATTTTTAGTAGAGACGGGGTTTCACCATATTGGCCAGGCTTGTGTCAAACTCCTGACCTCGTGATCTGCCCTCCTCGGCCTCCCAAAGTGCTGGGATTACAGGCATGGGCCTCTGCACCCGGCCTCCTTCTCCTCTTTCCTCTCCTTCTTCCTTCCTCCTTCCCTGCCTCCCACCCTTCCTCACTCTTTCCATTTTCTTTCTTAAAGAACACTTCAGTACTATGAAAGATTTTGTTTTAATGAAAATGATTAGAGATTGAAATACTAATTAAAATGTTTTCTAGTTGGAGGGCAGGGTAGACAAAGAGGTAAATATAGCAGCACCGCATTGCATAGAAATGCCTAGATGTAGTGAATCTTTGTTTACAGACCTTTCTTCAATATATCATTAGTTCAAACTATTTCCTGTTATATACCATAGGACTAAAATAGAATATCCAATACTTTCTAGGACATCAATCCCTGAGGTAGGACAGGGAACTAAAAAAGAACTAGTCCTGGTAGGATAGCCATGAAGATCTGTAAAATACAGACAGAAATCATCCTCACGTGTGCACAGAGGAGCAACATACATCTTGCTCCGTGTAGCTCATCTCTTGAAAAGAAACGGGTATTTGAGAAGCTCACTCTACTGAGGGAGTAACCTTATTAAAGTGCTTTAATAACACAACAGTCATCATATTATGCCTGGTTTTGTCCACTTATGATTCTTGTGGAATACATAATGAATAAGACAATGCCCCTTTCCCAGTATTCTTGCATAAGCAGGGAGAATATTTCTAATTAAAAAGGCAGAGTTAGTACAGCACATGAAATGAACAGAACCATATCTCTCGAAATGCTGAGATTTTACTATTTGCATTGTCACACTTGTATTTCTTTCTGAATCTAGCCCAATGCCCATTACCAATAAGATGAAGATTTAAGATAACTTGGTCAAAAGATGGTGAATTACAACTTTTAATTAAAATGTGGAAAATAGTTGCTTTAAAATAAACATGATAATACTTTCATGACCATTAATTTTTTATGGAGAGAACAACAAAAGCAACCTGAATATTTTAGAATGTGATATTATAAAGTCAGACAAAGGGGATTTTTAGAAAGTTATGGATGTCCCAGAGAGATGCTTGTGCACCTGCTATTCTTCATTTCTAGTGCCCTTGGAAACCCCAGCAGAATGCAACCCATACATCTGGACCCACAGTGATTTATTTACTTGACTGTACTCAGGTAAAGCCAATGATGACCATGATGATAAGATAGTAGGAAACTTTGGGGTTGACACAGCATATTTACATCAAAGAACAATTCAATAAATATTAATTGATAATAGGGAGAAGAAGAGCTGATTTCTTAATGTGACCTGTAAATATTAATATAAAATACAATTTTTATAAATCTAATATAGGGTTTAAATATTATTGATACTATGTTGTAGATTGAATATAGCAATATGATTGAAAGATTGGTGATTTGTTTGAGTGTGCACTATGGTTCACTTCACCATCATTAGTTCATATTCATGCAGACTTAGCTTCACACTTTCTACCATTGTTTCTAACTCTTCCCCTAAATAAATGTCCTATTACCATTAAGTCTTCTCTGACTGAATATGTGTGCAGAGTCATCTCTCCATCATTTTATTCAAGCCAATTTCTGCCAGGAATTACCCTGATTTCTCCCTGCCCACATACTGTCTGTCTGGATCAGCACACCCCTTCCAGGAAGCCTTCCTTGATTACTCTTACTAAAGGCCTGGCTTCAAAAATCTAAATCTACCCCTGCATACTTAGGTGAACCATGGTAGGAGTCACTGAGGAGCCAGGATTGTTCACCTTCTGGCAGGCCAGGCATTCTTTTGGATCAGTTGTCATCTTCATCCATAAAATAAGGAAATAATCATGTCTGCCTTGTAAGGCGGGTGTGATAATTACATAAAACACACATAAAAAAGCATCTGGAACAGCTTAGTTTCATAATAAATGTTTTACTTCCTTGTCTCTTTCCTTACCTCTTGAATTCAGAGAAATTTCTAAGCCATTCAGATATAGTAACTTATTATATTTACTTACTTTCTTGTAACTTTCAATTTTTATTTTGTGGCCCTTCGTTTTCCATTATGTCTCCCAATTAGTCTATGATTCCCCAAAGGAAGGGACCCTTATTTATGTATCCTCATATTCCCTGCCTCATCTAGTGTAGTTCCATATGCACAGTTAGGATCAATAAATATCTACGAGAATTAATATTAATCACTTTCTCCAGTGTTTGCATCAAATTTTAATTTTCATAAAAGCCCCAAATTCTGAACAATGTATTCTACTTTTGCATCTTCTGCTATACTGTACATGACTGAATTTACATACAGGGTGGTGAGGGAGGCATCAAACTGTTTTCAGGTAATTTCTTATCACCTGAGCTGGACAGCCATGTTAGGTAACACGTGGTACTAACAAATCCAAGATTATACATTTGATTCTAATGTGAGTGTGTTTATTTTGCAGAATGAAATTTTCTATACCTAAGAACTTCGTTTTTGTACTGCTGGGAAAGTGTCAGAAAATAAAAATAAAAGAGTGCTAATGATCCCAAGATGGTCTTAGGAAGTGAGCAGTGAGAATCAACACAAACAGGAAAAATAAAAATTAAGCTCCATACATTATGGATGGAAAGAAGATACCTGTGTTGTCTTGGTAGTCAAAGGGCAGTGCATTTTAACATTCACCATTTAACTTACAAGCTTCTTCCCATCATTGCATTGGGGTAGGTGTGGTGCATAAAGGTGGCAGAGCAGAGTGATTGTTCTGGCCTCTGTTGCCAGATGGGCTAACTCTGCTCTGTAACTTGATCAAGTTACATAGCCATGCTCTACCTCCATTTCCTGACTGGTAAAATAGGTAAGAGAGTAAGAGTTCCTCATAGCATTGTCAAGAGGCATAAAGAGGGAACCCAGGTAAAGCTCTCACAACAGCGCCTGACGAGGGCTATGCAAGGATCAACTGTTAACATGGCGGAATCTAAAACACCTCACCAGGATTCTGAGGTAGTGCTTATTTCTCTACTCCATTCTTTGGCCTTTCATAATGAGCAGACCCCAACCAGCATGTTGAGAAATCCTGAGTCTGGACTCACTATCTGGGTGTTCCTCCCTCTCAGTCAGAGGGAGAGAAGTGAAACAGAAGAAAAATTACAGGTGGCTCTTCCCCAAGTCCTCTCTACAATGGCTCTTACACTTTTAAAAGCCAACCATTAAATGTGTGTCCCATTTCTGTGATGTCTCGTGCCCCAGACGCTCTCGGTACTGATGACTTTAGTTTGCAAGCCTGGATTTAGAGAGCATCAAACTAGGATCAAAATGAGAGACGCAAAATAAGAAAATGCTCCCTAAGAGGTGAGGAAACATAATGAGATAAAGGAAAATAGGGGGCTACATTACTGAAATATCCTCATTCCAGAGATCACAACAAAACAAGAGTAGTTAAATGCATAATGAAGTCAGAATCAACAATTAGTAACAAAGTTGAGCTCTAAGAATCAAAATGAAATGGTGGTGGTGCCTTGAGACATTATACATCTGACTAGCAGTAGAAAATGTAATAATTTTGCAAATTATACTGGGAGGTTGGTTCATCCTTAAAAGGTATGCAGTATTATGTGTCATCTGATTTTGATGTGATTTCTAGAAAGAGAAAGGTAAGTTAAAAATAAAGATTCCATTTTAATGCATGTTTACTCTTGCCTTTGTCTGGAATCCAAAAACGACAACATGTTCTTCCCATTTACTGCAGCAGTATTATTTTTATATAAAGTTTGAAACCATGTGCACTGCCAAGGCACCCCTCCAAGAAGGTAAGCCCGATATTCCCATCTATCACATACTCTTCTGACTTTTTTTACTTAAGGGCTTGTCATTCAGTGGGGAGGAAGATCCACCGAATACCAGCCACGTGGAGTTTTATTCCTTCATGCTGTTTGTGATAAACTTCGGGGGACATATTTAACAATCTACAAAAAATGAAATTTCTGGGGCCACCCAGCAGGAGAATAATAACACCATTCTTACAGCAGCATTGAGCTTTAAGACATTGCCAAACTATCTAGGCACAGAATGTGACAAAATGGGGGAGTGGGGGTGGATAATTTCTGCAAGCTTCTAAACCACTCCTCATCCCCCATGCTAGTATTATTATGTTGTTGTTGCTGTTGTTATTGTTATTATTGCTCTTTGTCTTCTTAGGCATAGTCTCCTCTGGGAAGGCAGAACTGTTCACCTTCTGGCAGAGAAGTCATTCTTCTGGATCACAGAGTATCATTTAGCCAGTTTCTCTGAGTTGCTAAATTGCTGAGAAAACCATGGGGGTTTGGGCTTCATGCCTGGAAGAGGCACAGCTGGGGACTGGCTTAGGGTGCATGCCCCCACCATTCTCCTGTATTCCTTTGGCCCCATTTCCTACAACCTGGAAGAAGAAACAAAGTTGCCAGAACCTGGCTTTGTCTCCAAATTTACTTTAACCATCATTTCAGAGGATATAATAGGCCCCAGGTCTGCGGTTGGGGCTGTTCAGAAACAAGGAAGGAATTCCGAGTTTTCGGAGCAAGTTGAGGTTGAGACGTATTATATTCACACACACACACACACACACACACACACACACACACACACACACACACACACAAAATCAGGCCTTAAAGAAGAGCATAGGGTATAAATGTCCTCAAGCTCTCCTGTCCTCAGAAATGTGTTAGAACAGACCTAGCAAAGCCCTAGGGAAAGTGCAGTTGCTGGGACATTAACCAAGATATTTGGAGATCTCACTTTTCTGCTGGAAGCAGGAGTGCAGGGACAATGTTAATTGCAAGAAAATGAGCAAAGAAGCGGGTTTTAACTTTCATGTTCTAACAGGGCAAAAGAGGGAGATTACAAGGAAAGCACAAAGGCAAATGCATGAAGCCGTCTTCTGCCTCCCAAGGGAAGGAGATGAGCATCACAGGATTTGCTGCAGAGGCCCACGGCCAGCACAATCTATTAAATAGCTCAAGTTAGTCAATGTGGAAGAAATTTTTAGACACACATGCCCAACCATATGTGCATGACCAAGATTTAAAATAGAAAAGTGAGAGACTGTTGGATGACTGAGGATTTTTCCCTTGCCAGGAAGTCCTCCTTAAGGATTTCATAGCTTGCAAAAGAGAATTGCTTGCCAGACAAGCCAAGAAAAAGACACAGAAGATTGGGACCTGCTTCCTTAATGATGAAATGTCACGCTGCTATGTAAATCAACCTGAAGAAAAGAGGCAGGCATGATTAAGATGGCTTTGCAGAAACAAGAGAGGTTTCTTGACATCTCCTCCCTAAACTGCTTTAATTCCTCAAATCTCAGGGCTAGAAGCACACACACAATGGAATCTTATGGCAGTCACATTGGGCAATAAGGGAACACCTGTTCCATAGGATTTCTGTGCTGCAGTAAAAAATTACACTGTATGGCTACAATTAATAAGGGACAAATACTTGGTGTTATCAAGTTAGTGGCAGATCAAAGAGCTGCCCCACTGGGTTGCAGTGTGTTTCTAATGTATGTGGAATGAGACTACGACAAACGAGATGGATCCTATTAGCCACATGAGTATCAGCTTTAATAATTTTCCATTACACTAGATAGATGTTTTTTAAAGGACATTCTAGCAACACCCACCTCAGAAAGCCTATGCTTTAGTTCTCTCTATCTCCCCTCCTGTCTCTTTTCTCCTCCCCAGTCTTCCTGACACCATCAGAAAGAACTTAGATGGTACACCATTCCATAGCATGGTGTACAAAACACCAATATAGCTTATGATGGCTAGTGTTTGGGTATGTAATTACCCAACAGCTATGGTTGAAAATGTGCTTCTTGTTTTGGGGAAAAGGGTGGTTTGTGTACAGCATAAAAACATAAAGCTATCCTCTCACACCTTGGGAGCTTCAGGGCTGCAGGGCTCTGGCTCTAGGGTCATTTGGTGTAATTTGTGTGTTTCACAAGAATTATAATAATATCTTCCATAACCCAGGAAGTTTTCTCCTAAATTGTGCCATCAATTTTCAATTCACTTAGATCCCTATAATTTTATGACTAGAGGGGGCTTTAGAATTGACTTAATCAAATTATGTCATTTTACAGAAGAGAAAGGTAAGGCCCTGAAATGTTAAGTGAGTTGTCATATCACAAAACTACTTGGTATGTAAGTCGGGATGAGTTTCCCAATCCTTTGACTTCTAGTCTAGTATTTCCAACACTATACCATACTTCAGCATCATGCTGTGTCATTACTCTTCCATGCTCCTAGGAATAATATGGATCTCTCTACTAAAAATAAGTACTTCTTTTCAAATCTCAGCCTACTAAAGTGAGAGTGATCTCTGATGACACACTGGAAAACAAGAATTCCCTACGAGGAAAAATAATGAGAAGATAGATTGCCACTGATAAAAAATCAAACTGGGACTGTCTGAGTTGTATGAAATATCATAATCACATTATTAATTGGTGCCAGAAACAATTCTGTATTATGAAGAAAACATTAATATGATTTAAAAATATCAGCCCATGGACCACCTGGAGAATATCTGTCAATGATAAATGTCCCCACACAGTAAGTAGGAATCTCTGCTCCATAGGCAGTGATGTGGCTGCCTAGTTCCTCTATGTGGACTCACCCAAATAATCACCTCCACCATCATCAACACCCAATTTGTTGTGTTTTCTATGCAAAGGGTCAACTAAGTGCCAGGAAGTGACAATCTTCATTTATATCCCAGCTGTAAAGGTGATAGAAAATGGAGTCCACCTACTTGCCTGCCAGAAAGACAGCAGTACAACTTCACACTAGAAGATTATGCCACAGCTCTCTAAGGAAACTCATCCCATAGTCTTCTAATCATGTCACTGATGTCTCTAACCCATGGGTTACATTTGGTTTTCATCTTTCTTGTCAACTTCAGTTAGTCTTTTAAGGTACCATGGGGACATTTTCTAAATCCTTAACAGTGTAACTCTGTCACTATTGGGGAATCACGCAATCAAGCAAAACAATTGGGCTCTGTACCCCCTTTTTCTTCTTTTTTGCCTTTGCCATATAGTTCAAGACAATGAAAAGAGCAATTAACTGCACATTCAGAGACTTGGGTTTCAGTCCTGACACATTAACTACACAGCTTGGGAGAGTCACTTGATCTTTCTGGACCTCATCTCTTCATCTGCAAAATGGAAGCATTGAAGGAGATACACTTACAGGTTTCTTGAATCTTTAATATTCTGGGAACTTCCTACAGCACAGGCCTATCACCAGACACAGGATATCTGAGATTATGAAGTTGCTGGCAGACAAAGTTTAAAATTCTCTTAAATTATAGTGTCTAACAAATCCTGAGCTACCAATAAATAATCAACTGTCAAGTGAAAGCATCCCAGCAGTATTTATTGCCCTGCAAGTTGATATGAAATACTAATGTCAAGTACTAGTAATGGTACTTGAATTACTGTATGTATTCAGGTAATTACTGTATGTAATTTGCAAATATGCAACAGCATGTACATTGTAATGATAAGGATAACAATACAGTTGATAACAACTTAGGCTTGCATAAGATTATTTTACTTAGGGTTTCGAAGTGTTTCATAAACATTGGCTCATCTATTTTCTGAATACCAAAAATGCAAGTTACAGCTGGGAACAGAGACAAGGAGGGAGCAAAAGTGTATATCTATCTACACTTTGGAGATGGGTAATCCAGGCCCTGGCAAAAGTACTGATTTCCCCTGGGTGACACAAAGCCAGGGACAGGCCTGGGAACATAGGCCCAGTTTCTGGGTACGTAGCCTGCTGCTCAAAACACAGTCTACCCCAGCTCTCCAATTTACAGTACAAAGTTTATGACATGGCATTACCCAGGCACTTTCAGGTGTCAATTTCCTTTACAATTTTATAAAATATCATTTGGAAGGAGGAAGAAATTTATGCTTGTGCACTAAGAGCTCTCCTGTCTGCCCACTCTCTTGGGACAAGAGTTTGTTTCACTGAACAGAGTTGCAAATACAAGGCACACAGTGCTGCAAAAGCCATGGGGTTTGTTTTTAATTTAAAGAATGGCTCTGATTTGGCTACACGTTTTAAGCAGGCACTGTATAATACAAATCCACTGAATTCACTCAGATGGGAACAAGTTATGCCATCCTAACACTGTCTAGAATCCAGATGTATAGTTACTGTTTTCTTTTGCTTACCTTTTTTTTTTCTCTTGCTGCACGAAATTAGTTCCTTGGATACCAAGATTCTAGAGGCTCATTGTCTTGCAAAATATTCAGGTGCCTCACAACAATCTAAAATAATAAACCTCCAGTGTTACAGCAAAACACAGATGAAAATGTGAAATAATATATGTGTGTGTGTGTGTGTGTGTGTGTATGTGTATATATATATATGCATGTATACATAAAATGAAATATAGACATGGTATGAGAAAGTGAATTACAAACACAAATAAAGAGAAACCAGGTAGGGAGACAGCAAGATAGCTTCTCTTCCCATCATGTGAACTAAGAAATAGAATGGATGCTCATTAAAGTAGTTTACCGGGACTCCAATTTGTTCTGTGATTAAGAGGTATCGGTTAGAGGAGATTGGTGAGGGAGATCAATATTCTTGTCTTCATTCTTAATTCTTCTTTAATGTCTGTCTCCACAGGGCAGCTGAATCAGAGATGTAGAGTAAATCTTTATCCACCAGGGGGCTGCACTTCAGGGGGAAAAAAAAAAAAGGTCTGGTCTACCTCAGCTAGATAAATCAAGTTGATACCTAGCTTTCTTTGTCCTTAAACTCCCAACTTCTGTTCAAGTGTTGCCATGTTTCTGACTAGTAGATGTGATAAGGATGAGGCATGGAGAATAGTATTGGCTGGAGTCACGAAGAAAGTCATTCCTGGATCTTAAAGTAATATGATGGTGTGCTGTACCTAACTGCGTCTTTCACACCAAAGTACCTCAGCAATGGTATTCTTTCACATCCTCATCTTTCTCTACAACTCAAGCTGAGGGGAATTCTTACCTTTAAAACTCAGTGGTGCCATCATCTGAGGCCCACAGTGACAGAATCTGTCTTCTTCTCTCTGAGTCTCCCAGGTTCAACCTCTCTGGCAGTGGTTCCTAACTAGGGGTTATTTTACTTTCCAGGATACATATGCAATGTCAGGGAATGCTCAATTGTCACAAGTAAGGGGAGGGGTACTACTACTACTACTACCTAGTGGGTAGAGCCAAGGAATGCTGCTAAACATCTTACAATATATAGGACAGCCCCTATCAACAAAGAATTACCCATTCCAAAATGTGAGTAGTGCTGAGACTGAGAAACCCTGCCCTAAAGTGATGGGGACACCTTGATGCTTCAACCCAAATGGCTGGTGGGTGACACACCTCACTGAACTCTGGATCTTTGACCTGGAATTACTCTAATAATCTGAAATGTAATGCTTTCTCCTGCTTCACAACATGTATGTTACATTGAGCTAAACATAGAGGCAATCTTGCTGTCACATGCTCTAAAAAAGGAATCAGAGGTACATTACTCAGGGCACTGCCAATGGGCTAGGAGGTAGAAAAGAGTTTATTTTTCAATTTTTTGTTGTAAGCCTCTGTGCCTATAAATTTTTAAGCTATTTGTACGTTGCAGGCTGCTATGTGTTCATCAAAACCTGTTCCCTTTACTTCCTGGACACACAGACTACATTTCCCAGCCTCCTTTGAAGGTGGATGGCCATGTGACTGAGTATTAGCCAATGGAATGTGAGAGAAAGTGATAACAGCGTCTCTGTGCATAGCCCATAAAAATGTATCACATGATCTTTTACCCTCTCTCTTTCCCTGATCCCTGATCAAATACCAAGTCTCCAGCAAAAAGAATCAAAGGCCAGAAGGGATGATGGATCCATCAGATGCAAAGAACCTGGGTCCTTGAAGAACTATTTTGAAGACCACTTGTTGTTAACTAACAACATCTACACTGGACTTTATGTGAATAAGAAAATAAGCCAATGAGAGTTTGGGGTTGTTACAGCATCTAGCATTAATTACCCCAAATTATTATAATATGCATGAATTACTTTAATTTTACAAGTTATAATTCAAATATAAATCATTTAGTTGGTTTAAAATTTCTTGTGGAAAGCATGTTGCTGTCTGGTTTCTGTTCCAGACTTACTGTAATGCCACTGAAATTTCTTTTGCAAATGTAAACTGACCCATATTACTTTCAACCTTGAAGCACTTCACTGGCCACGCATTACTCTTAGTATAAGATTTTTAAATTTATCATGATTCACATGGCCCTTCACAATTGCAAGAGATCCCAAGGATTGAGGAATAAACTCAGAGGTGTGTGCTGTTGAAGAGAAAACCTTCACCTCCCACTACAGAAAGGAAAGGACCCAGTTATCCCTTTTAATACTGCATGTAGCTAGAGTGTAGACTCAAACAATCTAACATCCTTACTTGAGATTTTAAACCTTAAGGAAATAAAGCAAAACAAAGAGAAAATTGAGAAACTATTCAGGGTGACAGCCATGAGAATGAAGCTGCAAGGGCACCAAATTTCCAGGACAGCAGTGGCAGTGACAGGTACAACCTAGACTGTTCTGCAGCGCTACCTTGGCTATGTGGCCCTGCTACCAAGCTTCCTTTAGAGCTTGCCTATTTATGAATTTGAATTTGGTTATTAAGATTCCCATTGGTGCTGTGAGAATTTATAAATTCCATTTCTGCTCTAGTTAACCAATTTTAGAGTCTATTGCTTGCAAGCAAAACCTTTGAGTAATAGAATATCTTCCCCTCACCCTCAGGATTGCAAGCTCCAAGGGGGCAGAAAGTCTACTTTGTTCAACATTGTATCTCCATCTTCTTCCTGCTACACAGTGCCTGGTACACAGTAGAAGGTGATTAGATATTTTTAAATAAATGCATGAATGAAAATACAGGCAGGCAATCAGGTAAATGCACACATCAGCATCAGCCCCCAAAGGGTGTACTATTCCACCATTCTAAAATCAAGAGTTAATAAGGTAGGAGGTCAGAAAATTAGGGAAGGTAGGGCTGAAGTGGAAGGGAAATGGCACCTAGGTGATGAGAGTAAGGGACTGTGGGGATGCTTTGCTGGTTAAGGGTTGTATGCAAGGAAAGCCAACTCCAACTCTCTTGCCTCTTGCTGGATACTGGAAACAGTGCAATAACTACAGTTTTCATGTAACTCCTAGCAAGTATATCTCTTTCCCAAGTTCTCCAGCAAGTGACTGCTTCCCAAACATGTGGAGCTTGGTACTGAGGAGTCAGAAAACATGGGTTCCCTCTTGAAAGGTGATCTCCCTTTTCCAACCCTTAGTATCCTGGCTCCACCTGCTTCAGCTACTTGGCAGTTTGGCTTTTAGAATTGTATTAGTCCATTTTTACACTGCTGATAAAGTCATACCTGAGACTGGGAAGGAAAACAGGTTTAATGGACTCACAGTTCCATGTGGCTAGGGAGGCCCCACGATCATGGCGGAAGGCAAAAGGTACTTCTCACATAGCAGTGGCAAGAGAGAATGAGAGAGAAGCGAAAGCGGAACCCCCTTTACAAAACCATCAGATCTCGTGAGATTTATTCACTACCACAAGAACAGTATGGGGAAAACCACACCCATGATTCGATTATCTCCCACTGGGTCCCTCCCACAGCACATGGGAATCATGGAAGTAGAATTCAAGATGAGATTTTGGTGGGGACCCAGTGCCAAACCATATCAAGAATTCAACAAAATAATGCATTTCATAATGCTTTATAAATTGATAAAGCATTATACAAATGTATAGCAAGATCTTTAAGTGCACAGTTCACCTTAGGAATGGCAACAAAAATCTCAAAAGAGCACCTCAATTACTCAAGAAAGCAGAATTTCTACAACGTGGGCGGCAAATCCAGTTTACACTGGAATGATACTTTTTCTTCCACAGGTAGAAATCACCCATTCTTGTTAGCGTGGCTATTCAAGAGTGGAAATAAGTTGTTTTATGGAGGTATCACTAAGGGAATGAGGGCTGGTTCAGAATCAATTAAGAAAGGAATGCAAATGAGATTTAGATAGTGGAAATTTTTATGGAAATCCCAGAGAAGCTTTGCATAGAGTGGGTGCACTGTGATATCATGGAGTCAACCTGAGACCTTCTGGAGAACTTCATTCCTGTTCACGTTACTCATTCAGGAAGATGGCCCCTGAATTTTCTCATGAGGCATAATAACGACTGCAGACAGAAGCTATTTCTGATTAGAGCTTCTCATAGAAGACAACAGGGACATTAGCCAGCATAGCAAATCCTTGTGATGCCTGCCACAGAAAGGTAGAGGAAGCACCAGGTTTGCCGCCCTTGGGGATAGAGCAAGAGGCCAGCAAATATGTTGCAATTTCAGTCTCTGGGAGGGTTTTAAGGCCACCATTGCATATGCAAGCACATGAACCCTCCAACTGTGGCTTATGACTAAAGCTCATTTGTAGAGTTTGCTAAAGTCTATCATTGAATATGAACCTAAATTTTGACTCTTTTCAAAACGCATAAGCCCCAGGGAGAACAAATATTTTATACAGGGTGATACGAATGAAAATGCACAGGAGGATGACTAGGGAAATCTGAGTTCTAATTCAGACTCAGCCACCAAATTAACTTGTTTAAGTACCATAACCACTATAGGGGCAAAGAGGTAATACCTTTTCCTTACGCACCACAGCAGTCACGGCCAGCACTCCTATAACAAAAGATGTGTCAGCAAGAGAGAAGCATAACAAATTTATTTATCAATGTTTTATGTGAAACCAGGAGCCTTCAGAAATGCAGACGAAAAGACTCAGGGAAAACTGCATGTTTTATGTTAAGTTTGGGGGAAAACACAGATAGTTGTAGAAAACATAATTGGTTAAAAGTGTATAGTCTAATGGTAATAGACTAAGGCAGGGAAACCCAGCAAGGCCTGTCTGCTCAGATTCTTCCTGGCTCCTCTGTGGTAGTACTCCTTCCCTCCAGGTACAGGGCAGGATAACTGTCGCATGAGGGTCTGATGATCAATTTTCAGAGGAGGTAGGTCAGAGAGTGATCTTTCTAGGTTTTATGGTTTGCTCTAGGGGAGTAAGAGGAGTGGGAGACAGAAGAGCAGGAGAAGGTCAGAGAGACCTTCTTGCTTCAGAGGCTTTCCTGTCTCCTTCAGCTCAAAAATACTCAGCATGTCAAGGTATCATATTTTGGGGTATCATGTTCTGAGCCCT
This sequence comes from Homo sapiens, assembly GCF_000001405.40. Lineage (NCBI taxonomy): Eukaryota > Metazoa > Chordata > Mammalia > Primates > Hominidae > Homo > Homo sapiens. The sequence goes on along the minus strand of NC_000002.12, from coordinate 58,867,393 downwards.
GATCCCACCCTGGAAGTTATTTTCCTCATCTGTAGGATGAGTGTGTTTAAATAGAAGTGGTAGATTTCAAAGACATTCTAGCAGTAGATTTCTTTCCTTAAGTCAACCTTTAATTCATGTTCAATATATAAAAACACATAAGAATGGAAGCACTGCTCTGCTTGGTGCAGAGGGTAGGGACTGGGTAAAAGGCTCTTTGTAGAACAAGTGTGGAAAACATTAACCAAGCTAAGCTATTCACAGAGCTCCATGAACCTTTGTTATTTATGGAGTGAAAAGGGTCTAAAAGTCAATGAGAGGATGGAGTAGGAGGAAAGTAAGAGAGGACAAAGAGCGAGCTGGGGAAGATATGTTTTGACTCATTCACAACTGGGCCTAATGTTGGTCTGGCTGCCACTTAAGCAAATGGTGCTCTGGAATCCTGGGTATTGATGCACAATAAATGGCAGCCTATCGGCAAGGATATAGTAAGTGAGGGTCCTTTTAACCAGGTATGGCTATGGCTGGTCAGGCAATCTCATAAGAGATATGCATGAAGTTGTCAGACTTGTAAATATCTGTGGATAATGCAGTTCCCACTTCAGCCCAACCTTCTGAACTTGCAGCAGGTGCCCACTGGTTGCAAATCAGTGGCTGGGCTAGCTGAGAGTCAATCTCTCACACCCTCTGGTTTACAGGTAAAACAGGGGGTCAGGGCAAGACAGGGGGAACTGAGTTGGATGCAGACAGCCAGAGAGCAGCCTCTTGCCATGATTCCCACATAACTCCTTCATGGCAGCCTCTCTCTCTCAAAAAGATGGACATATTTATCAAACAAGAAATAAATGGGGGAAAAAAAGCCCGAAATCTCCCTTCCTAAAATTCATGGTAGGTTTGAGGACCCAGATTTAAAATTTATATCCCCAAGTTAAACACATATCTGGCCCAAACATGATGTTTCCATTCAAAAGTTTCAACCTGCTGGAGAAAGAAGTTCTTGCTTCAGAAACTCAAATGCACTGATTAAAAGTGAGTGCCACAAACACACACTCCAATATCATCAAGAGCGAGTCAGAACCCACACCAGAGTTAACAGGAAACTCGCTGGAAGACAGTCAGAGTCGCCACTGAAACAAAAGCCAGGCTCTGAATGCCAGCTCAGCAGGCAGCTCTCGCCTTTTCAATGGGACTTGCTCTTTGATGTGTGTTTTTTAACCGCAACTTTCATGTGGTGATGGAAGAAGCTAAGAGCAAGGTGGTAGCATTATGTGAAGACCAATGCTTTAAAATGCCCTTTGCCCTTCAACAGCACCTGGCAGACAAAGAAGAACCACATAGACGGGAGAAGCCTACCTGTTTTTTAAAGAATATCTGTGCTAGCAGAATCCAAAAGGGTGAGAAGGAGCATGCTCTTCAATGGCAGAAAAAAATTTGGTGGGGCCACTTAGACAGATAGATTTGGCTTAAAATAAAAGTTCATTTACAGTTTCATCTGGATCATAACCCAAATTAAAATTATTTGTGTCCAATTAGCTTAAAATAAAATATCCCTATGTGTGGCGAGTCTTTAACACATTTATTTTCAGTAGTGAGAGAATGAAGCAGCAGACAGGACCTGCACCCTTCAGAGGCTATACAGGTGTGTCTTGTTTTGCGTGACACACACATTCCTGGAAAAGTTGAGTGGAAGTGAAACAATATTTTTACACATAAGGTGTCTGCTATTTTAGAAGCATGTCACTGATAAAACCAATGATCTCTATTTTTTGACTGTAAACACAGCTTTTTATACCTCTGGGTTTGCCTAATGAGGTTGATTGAACTTGAAAGATTTGAGCCCCCTGTTTGGGGCAGTCTTAACAGCAGCAAGTCCCTACAGGAAACCTTTAGAAGCTCTTCTGAGTCAGCTGACTCAAAAAGGCCACAGAAGAGTCTGTAATGTATCTATATCATTGGGTAGGTACATGCAACTAGGCTTCCATAGCTGCTACACTGAACTACATATTATCTGATCTTTCAAAGAACTGGGATGAGGGCAGGCTGTTCTCAGGAACTGGAAGATAGGGAGAAATATTATGGGTAGGGCATGTCCATGGTGTGGGAGGGGAGGTCGTCCAGGTTCATGTTTCCAGGTACCCCACGCGGCACTGAAACTCAAGAGTTCAGAGGGTGGTAACCAAGTGTGGTCAAACTGTCTGGCCTGAAGAAAGCACAGGCAGAGCCAAGAGCCTTTCCATACCCCCAGGGGCACCAACTAGAAACTGCCTATTCAGAGCCTGGCTGGGAGGAAGGCTGACCAAGAAGCAGGAAGAAGATAAGGGAAGGAGAGGAAAAGGAAGAGCAGGAGAAGAGGTGGGAATAAAGAAGCAGGACTCCTTCATATACACTGGTAAAGGCTAGAGGGGCACATGTGTGGCTGACGGCATGATTTTATTTAATTGGTTTAAAGGATTAGTTGCATGTAAAATCATTAACGAAGTCTAAGATGCTAGTATCTACCCATGTACCCTGCACCATACCTTATCTCTTGAGGCTTAATGGATATATTTTCAGAACAAATAAAAGAAAGCAGCAAAGTGAGTCACCAAGAGGTGCTAATTAAAGGTGAAAAAATATATTTATTTTCTCCATTTATTATAATTTTCATTAAGTCATTGCTGATGAATGCATGTCGTTGTTCTAAGAGAGTTTATAGATGTTTGAAGTACACTGCCATTCCAACGACAATAGCAACATGCTCCATGAGCCCCCATGACGGTATCAACCCCATTATATTAGAGCAGTTATCAGAGCTCTCACTCTTGGAGAACACAAAAGCTGTTTACTGCCCAGGCCCCCATCTATCCCCACCAGCTCCACTGGCCCCACAGGCAGAATGACTAGACTTTCTCTATGCTGTCATTGCCTCAAACCCAGACACCAGCTGCTTTGACACCTGGAGTGCCCTTTCCCTCCCATCTGCCTCTGGGCAACTTTGACTTCACCTCTGCAATGCAGCTCAGTTTTCACCTTTCCTAGGCAGCCATCTGTGATGGTTAATATTGAGTGCCAACTTGACTGGATTGAAGGCTGCACAGTACTGTTCCTGGGTGTGTCTGTGAGGGTGTTGCCAAAAGAGATTAACATTTGAGTCAGTGGACTGGGAGAGGCAGACCCACCCTCAATCTGAGTGGGGCCAATCTAATTGGCTGCCAGTGCAGCTAGAATAAAGCATGCAGAAGAACGCGGAAGGACTAGACTTGCTGAGTCTTCTGGCCTCCATCTTTCTCCCATGCTGGATGCTTCCTGTCCTCGAACATCAGACTCTAAGTTCTTCAGGTTTTGGACTCTTGGACTTAACACCAGTGATTTGCCAGGGGCTCTTGGGCCTTCGGCCACAGAGTAAAGGCTGCACAATGGGCTTCCCTACTTTTGAGGTTTTGGGACTTGGACTGGCTTCCTGGCTCCTCAGCTTGCAGACAGCCTGTTGTGGACTTCACCATGTGATAATGTGAGTCAGTAATGCTACTAAACTCTTCTTCATATATTCATCTATCCTATTTGTTCTGTCCCTTTAGAGAACCCTGACTAATACACCATCCTATCCTAGCACCCATCAGTTGGAATTGCAACTTTCTGTTTAGCTGTTCATGTCCGGCCAGGCTGTAAGCACTCTGAAGGCAAGGAGTGGGCCTTGCTCCTGTAGTCCCAGTACCTGTCATAGTGCCAGGCAGGTACTCACTTGCTATTCCTCAAAACACGGAGCCACGGAGAAGCCAGCAGGATACTCCTCCAGCACATCCCTGTGCTGCCCTGCAGAGGCACTTCCTGACACAAGCTCACACTTTTTTACGCTCCAAAATCATCTCGTCTAGCTGTATGGCAGGTTTTTCCATCTACTTGCATATGTTTTATAGGCTATAATCTGAGAAAGGTAGCACTAAGTGGTATAGAAAACTGGCCAATGCCCACATAAATAAAGTATCTGCATGAGCTTTAAGTAGAGTTACAAAAAAATTGGAGAAAGAGTTTCTTGTGGTTTGAGTTAGGACAACTGGGGAGAGACTCACTTTATGTTGAGTACATACACGTGAAATATTTATTTTGTGTATTAGTTTGGGTTCTCTGAGACGCAGATGCCAGGATGGGATTAAATGTGTGAGAGATTTAATGAGGAAGTACTTGTCAAGGCTGAAGGGGACAGAGCTGGAGAAGGCAGAGTGAGTCTTCAGACCATGCCATAAGTCTGACCTTGTGAAAGAGAGGGGGAAAGAAGGAAGGCTGGATAGAAAGAATCTCCACTGCAACACAGATATAAGAAAGATCCAGCCAGGCCAATGGTGAGTCTCTCTACTCCCCCTCACCCCATTTCTGTCTCTGTCTCTTTCCTTGAATCTGTGTTTGAAATTTTAGATTGTTTATGACCTCAAGAAGTAGGCATTGTTATTATTAAAGCCACCATTAAGTACAGAAGTACTCTGTTTCAAAAGCCATCACAAAGGAAATAAATATCTCATTCTGCCATAAGACTCAATCTTGAGTCTTAACAGGATCTCAAAGTGGTTGAGTGAGAAATAAAAGCCACTAACATTCATTGAGTAGTTATAGGTGTCATGTTCTGTCCCAGGTTCTCCACATGACTTAACTCACTTGCTCCTCACAATAATTCTGTCCGATAGGTCCTAAACTGCCGCCATTTAAAGATAAAGCAACTGAAGCCTAGATTGTTTAAATTACTTGTTCATCATCACAAAACTAGTGACTGGCAGAGGCCCATTCAAAATCAGCCCACACTCATAACTACCACATTTGATAGTAACCCAAGTAACCCAGCCTGGTATATGGCAGAGGCAGCTATGCAACACAATTTCTGTTCCTCCTTCCATACTTTGGAGTTGTTGCTGGGAAGTAGATTTCTCAGCTTCCCACCTCAACTCCTACATGGTTTTATGACTCATATTTGTCAACAGAGTGTGAAAGAAAGTGATTGTGCCACTTCTGGGCCAGGGCCTCAAGAAGACAGCGCAGATTCCCCATGGGAACTTCCCTTTCTGTCACCTGAAGCCACTGATGCATTGTGACCTTCGAAACCACAGGTTGCTGATGGCAGAGCTTCTGTCAGTTGGGGTCTTTGAATGTCTTCGTGGAACAGGAATGCCCTCTACTGACTTGAAACCAATTTTGGCCCTTCTGTTTTACTGGGTTTAAGTCAATATAATTGGGGGATCTCTGTGTTAGAGCAGTTACCCTTCTGGCCTAAGAAGGTAGGAAGATATCTTGCTACAGGGGTGTGAAGTAATTGGCTTAAGTTCACAGGAAGTAGTAATGGTAGAGGTAGGAATAAAATGTACAACAAGCTCTTGTTCTTGGCATTGCACTGAGAAGAGGCAGTTGGCAAGAGGGAGAGAACCCATAGAGTCTCAGAAGGCCTGGAAGAAACCCACTCCATCTCATTGCAGTCTCTGAGGAGCTAGTCTACAAAGTGAGACCCAGAAGACTTAGTCCCAAGACTCAACTCAAGTGTTGATGAGGAGAATGTGTCCATCATACTGAAGGAGAACCCAAGTACCACTGTGACATGCAAGGCTTAGGAAGTTGTCCTAGAACAGGAAAGCACCAAGAACCATTCTATGGGCATGACAGATTGTCAGAGCCTGTCTAAGCAGGAGGAGAGTCTTCCACAACAGGAAGAAAAATAGGAGCCAAATAAAAAGCCCATCCAACTAGGCATTTGTGGCTGGCATGAGGAAAACCCCATAGTTTGATGTGTATAAGGACATATAGAGACTCAACAATGCACCATTGGGTCCCCAAACTCATTTCAAACCCAAACAGTGAACCTACCAGGAAAAAGTGGATATTCTTTCTGTTTAATTACCATCCTCTGGCTAAAGGGCACTAAAATGCAGAGAGTGTTTTGTTAGCTGAAAGTAGTCAATGCATTGTTAACAAGAGATATTTAAAATACTGGGCATCTCTGAACACAAGTTTCCTTTGGGCCTCTATGGTTTCCATCCATGGTCTTAGGGAAGCTCCCCTTGATTTATGTAGAATGAGCCCTAGGCCCTGTGAAACAACTAGGCCTTTCTGTGCTAAGGGTTCAAGGTTACAAACCTGTCCCTATTGTGAATCCTATTCAAACACAGCATCTTCATGGAACCCTAGGGTAAGGGAAGTACAATATAATATGTTTTTTCCAGGGGACAAAGGGTGCAAACTCTCCAAAAGTACCTTGCCTACTGAGTGTACATCATGCATTCTAAAAACACATAAGTGCTCTTCTGCCTTCGCAAAGAAGGTAAAAGCAAGAAAGTGGATTAAATGGACAAACAACAGCCTACTTCATATTTGGATATTATATTGTCTTCAGTGAAGTGTTTCTAATGTTCTTGAGACTTACAAATAATAAAAAGGGTATCCCCTCCATTGAAATCCAAGTAAATACACTGTAATTGGTTTAGAGTGCCTTTAATACTAGTGTTCTCACGTTTTAAAACTCTTTATTCCAAGTTTCAATAACATGTTCTTGAAAGATAGACTCTCTAAGTATTTCTTTGTCCTTAGGAAGACACTCAAATCACTTTTCTAAACTGATGGTCTGGCATCCTTCCAAAACTGATTTAGAAGTTATGGCTCACACCCCATGTCTGAATCTTCTAACCTTGGCACATTCCTAAGTCCTATGAATAGGGTTGGCAGTTGGGAAGGCTGGCTATAAAAAGAGAGAGAGCTGCATGTATCTAGCTCTGTTTAGCAAATTTTGCTTTCATGAAAATCCTAGAGAGTCAAGAAGACATTGCCAAGATACCTACAAGAACTCAGTAACCTGTTGGACTATTCCATATGCCATATCACACTCAAAATCACTTAAATTTGTCTAGTGTTTTGTAGTTTGCAAAACATTTTCATATTTATTACCTCATTTGATCAATATAATGGTCCTGTGAAAATATACAGGGTAAATATTAATATCCCCACTTGAAAGATAAAAGATACTGAGGCACAGGGGGAGTTACGTTGAACAGTACCCAGCTGATTAACGACGGAGATGAGAAAGACACTTGGTCTCCAGGCAGTGAGTTTGATTATCCTTCCACTGTACCACTCTGCCTCCTCAGAAGCCTTTAGCTCCAGTTCATCAGTTTCCAATCTGCTTCTAATGATGGCTAGACTGTGCATAGTGCTGGTCATACCAGGCCAAAGAGAAGAGATCTGCTACTGTGAGGAATGCCACCTCCAAGTAGAATTTAAGTTTAGTATTGGCAGAGCTATCAGTAGAGAAAAAAGCCCCTTTATCCACAGTATCTTAGAACTCCAGTACAAGCGCTCATCATTTTCACTAATGTGCAATTTCTCTCAAAGCTCTTTGGAGTTAGGAACTTGCTTTGCCTACTGTGAGAAAGGCATCCACCAAGCTAAATTGGGCCCTCAGGCATGCACCCAGCTTTATCAGAAGCCAATACTGTTTAGATGGAGTCCTTCCATGCACATCTCCCAGGACAGTTTTAGACAGCCTATGAGTATACTTTATTTCCTTTAAAACAAGTAACCTAGAAAATGAAATAACACATATTAGATTAAGCTCTGTCCCATTTGGCTAATTCAGAAGTTAATGGAAGGTCTCTTTCGGTCATTGGTATTGGCAGAGACACATTTAGTAAACTCTCATGGGAACCTCACACAGGTACCGTAGCAGCTCTTACCCATAAATTAAGAATGGCATTTAAAGGCAGCTTTTTCCTCTCTAGGAGGGTGCCATTCAGGTTTCTCTTGACAAAAGCCTGCTCACCAAACTCCCCAAACAATACAAAGAATGAGCGGGGGAGAAGGGAATCAAAAGAGAGAAAAAGAGAGAACCAGAGGGAAAGAGAGAGATAGAGACCTTATAAATGGATATGACACAGGGTGGCAAGAGAAGAATGAGCCAGATCACTAACAAATATACTGAGGGGCCCACTATGCATGAAGTTTATTGGCAACTAACAATTAATTTTACCTCTTTGAACCATGTTCAAAGAGAGTGTAGCACTAGCCTGCTTACATTGAGGATTTAATGCAGAATGCTGATTTATAATTGTTCTGTGAAATGATAACTTTGAAAATAGTGTAAGCAATACAAAATAAAGCATGACTATTTCTTGACTTTAACCCCAGTCCCCATATTCCAGTAAAAATATCCAGAATCAAATCATTTCCTGAAAACACATTCTAATTGGTTCTGTGATCACCTATTTTGTCAGAGTTGATGAAGGTACTCCACCTGTCTGCCACTTTTCCAGCAGTGAGTCCTCTTCTAACAAAGGATAAAAAAATGCAATGACCTCCTCACCTCTTTCCAAATGTATCCTGAGCCTACCTACCATGATGGAAAGACTACTCATATTATAAACAGTTTAGTTATTTTATTTTATATTTCTGTAATTATATATAAATGGAAGAGGTCTGTAGATTTTTAAATCTTATTATATTACTATCTTTCTCGTTTTTTTGGTATCAGAGTGATGCTAACATCATAAAATGAATTTTGCAGTTTTCAGTATTTGTTTATATTTAGGAATAATTTAAAATTAATTGGCCTTTGAAGATCCCAGGATTTGTTTTGTTTTATAGGTAATATTTTTAACACTTTAACCACTTTTAATATCTTATTTAAAAGTTACATAATTTTGTCTTTGGCTACCACTTTAGTTATTTCTTTCCAATTGTTCTCAGATAATTTTGTCAATTTATATTTTTCCAAAATATTTTCATTTCACTGAGGTTTCAAACATACTGCAACATAAGGACACAATTATCTTATAATTTTTATTATCCCTGAATCTACTCTAAAACTCATATTACCATTTCTAATTTTATTTGTGTTATCCCCTCCCTTTATTGTAATTGGCAAGGTTTTATCAATTAATAAAATAGCTGACAAAATAAATAAGTTAATAACATTATTATATATAATATATATCACATATTATAAATACAAATATATAATAAATAAATATAATTTATATGATAAATATATCAAAGTGAAATTTAAAATAAAATAGATTTTCCTTATACCCAGAGACTGATTCATCACTTTTACTATCTTTACATTTCTCATTTCTGTTTCTATCTTTAGTATTTTCTTCCTGATTATTTTATGTTTATTTAATTTCGAGAGTTTTACTTTTAATTTATTTGTAGTTATCCTTTCTTTATTCCCCCAAAGAAATAAAATATTTAAGGCTATTACTTCACCTCTGAATATAGCATTGGCTGAGTCTCATAGTCTTGATATGTAGCATTCTCATGTTTATTGCTTATTATATATTATATATTATTTATTGTACACATTTTATTATATATTGCTTGTTGTGTACGTTATTCCTCATGCCCTTTGAACAATACGTTAGCTAAAATACTCCGAAAAGATGAGATAATCTCTTTAAAATACTGTATAATAGCCAGAAGAGAAAAATAACTTCATTTATTCATAAGAACTTAAATTACAGCTAAGAGGGGACTTTTCACTATTAACTATTACATATTAGCATCTAAGTTTTTAGTCAAGTAGTTTTCAGCTCTGCCTAAATATACATTGGTGCATATTCTACTTTGATTTCCCGAAGTCAGGGATCAAGTCCTGAAGTATAGAAATTAAGACATTAAAGACTTCAAAGGGTTAGGCACAGTGGCTCACAACTGTAACCCTAGCACTTTGGGAGGCTGAGGCAGGAGGATCACATGAGCTTGGGAGTTCAAGGCCAGCCTGAACAACAGAGTGAGACCTCCCAATCTCTCCAAAAAATTTTAAAAAATTAGCTGGGTGTGATGGCATGTTCCTGTGGTCCCAGCTACTCGGGATGCTAAGGCAGGAGGATTTCTTGAGCCCAGAAGGTTGAGGCTGCAGTGAGCTAAAATCACGCCATTGCACCCCAGCCTGGGGAACAGAGCAAGACCTTGTCTCAAAAAATTAAAAAAAAAAAAAGAAAAAAAAAACTCAAAGAGAATGTTCGATGTATAAAACTACTAATGGAAATAAAAAATAATGTATCAATACTTTTCACATATTCTTCAATAAAGTTGTCTTCAATAGAAGATCTATAGAGAAGAGCAACAGAAAAAAAGAGAAAGGAACCGTGAAATGAAGGTCTCTGTTTCCTGTGGCCAATTATGCAAAATGATAGACATTGCTTCAAAATCGGTTGTTAAAAAATATGTGCATTCCTATGCATTTTTTTTATTTTCCACTTTCCTTCCTCCCTTCTTTCACTTCCTTTCTTCCTTTACCTTCATCTCTCCATCCCTCCTGCCCTCCTTCAATAATGCTCACAAACCACTCTTTAGTGACGAGAGCTGACATTCTTTTATTGGATTTGGGGTCTGATTTATGTAAAAGAATCAGCAGTGCCCACCTCTCACTCACAATCTGCTACTATTCTAGTCAGAAATCATCTCTGTTTTCCTGCGGGTGGAATGGAATTTCTCTTTTTCTCCACATAAACTCCCTATCTTCACAGCATCACAATCCAACTGGAAAGCAGGTAATCTTCTTTCCATCTCTCTTTGAGCTGATTGTTATAAAATATGAAAAATTGGTACAAAACATTTAAACTGCTTTAGAAACCTTGAAAGAAATATTAAACAATTAGTTAAAAATAATTGCTTAATTGCAATGTGTCAGGGAATCAAATGGCACTAGGCACAAAAGTAACTGCTTAGGAATAGAACCCCTGTGAAAGCTAAGCAGAGGCTGGGTAGAAAGTGGGAAGCAGATGGCATGGCCACTTCAACCATGCACCTGTACCATGTTCAGAGCCTCTCAGGGCAGGCCACAGAGGAGAGTAACGAACTCCGTTTTACAAATGGAGACTATGAACATTAGAGAGAGAAAATGGCTTTCCCAAAAGTCAGAGCCCTGATTTGTGTCCACGTCTTCAGTTCCCCAAACAGCCCTACCACATCACAGTTGCACCCTGCTACCTTCTAAGGGTCTGCTCCAACAGAAAAGATCGAATCACCGTCCCCTTGTGCAGATGCACTTCTCTGCTTGTAGACTTTCGGACTGATGAACTGCTCTCTCCTCACTTTGTTCTGTGTGTCTAAATTCCACACATTCTTCAGGGAGGAGGCTGAGTCTCACCTCTGCCACCTGTCTTTCCCTAGAACTTCATCCTTTTATATTCTTCCCTCATTGTGCCTGGGGCACTCAACTAGCAAGGAACCGCAAATGCGGGTTTGACTTATGATTGACTATAAGCTGGTCCAGGGCAGGAGCTGTAGGTTCCTTGCAGAGCATAGGACCAGTGTGTCAACGGAGTGGTATACCACAAATCTCAGATGATTTTAGTTATTGAAGAGGACCTTGTGAGAAGAAAAGAGAACACCAAAAGTCAGAGAAACCAAGAAGCCACTGAGCTCCACTAACTACACTCTGTCAACTAAGATAGCCTATCGGGTAGGAATGTTGACGAAAATGTTCAGGGGCAAATATTCTAAGACACTATCTTAAGAATTCACTGCCAATAAACTATTCTCTCTGTCAAATTCTGACGCTTACACTTGCATCTTTATCCCACAGAAATATATTGCCTAATGTCAACAAAAGTTTCCCTAAATGATTATTCCCAAACAATTAGTAGCTTCCTATTAATTGGTTGGATTTTGATAATTTAGTCTGGAAATTTTATTAGGATCTGAAATTTTCTTTAGGGTGATGTTTTTTCCACCGTGCTCTGAATTTTCCAATTTTACGTAGCTATTTAAATCAATATTTCAATGCTTATGTAATATTTAAGGACTGCATCATTGTTTTACTTTTCCCCATAAAACAGTAACTCTCTCTTGTACTTTTAGAGTATCTACAATACATTTTAGTTGTATGGGGTATCCGATTTATTTCCTTTCTCACTGAATACAAGAAGAAAGTTTTCACTAATTTTCTAAAATTGCAATTGCCACATAGCCATGACTAAATATGCCACAAATTTACACAACACTTAGAGAGCCTGTCCTATGTCTGCCTTCCCAATCTGCCCCAACCCTTATTTTACTGTTATATGAAACACATTTGTTTTGACGAGCTTCCGACATCTCTCTAGTTTGTATTGTCCTTCTTCCATGTCTGTGTATTGTTCACAGGCAGGGAATCTAATTCCCTAGGAAGCATATTATTTGAAACTTACCATCTGTATATGCCACAAAGTTTAATTTTTTTCTAAATTTCCTCCCATCCTCTTTGTCAATACTTATTTTTAAAAGACATTATTGCCCTCCAGGTGTCCAAATTTTCTTCTCATTTTTCTCTTAAAAACTGACTTAAAGCAGGAAGTCAATATCTCAGCCATCATTAATTTGACACCCTTCTCTTATTTATTCAGTAGTCTTTTTCTCGAGGATCACTTTTTCCCCCGATACATTTATAAAAGATCTCCTTACTCCATTTAACCTCTTTTACTAGCAATATCTCATTTTCCACTTTTGCACTCCTTATCTTTTCCTTAGTAACTTTAAGTTGTTCTGTCTATTTTTATATAGTTCTTGCCATCTCCACTCTCAGGCAATTGTCCTGTTACACACAGATCTTGAGGAGCCACTGCGGATAACAGACTGTCTTTTTACTAGATTCCCAGAGGCAGAAGGGTCCTGCAGTCCCTGTGTTCTGCCCAGTTCTCTCACTTGGCCAGTGCAATTTACACTTTAATTTTACTTTACACTTTAATTACACTAAAGTGTAATTAAAATTTACACTTTAATTGTATTGTTTTAGCCTACTTCACACCTATCTACAATTGCAAATCTTAATACTTACTCCCCTTGCATCATCCATATCAGATTTCCTTCCAATCTCTTGTCTTCCAGTGAGGAATAGTACTTTGTAGTATCATTATCAATGATCACATTTCTAAATAGGCCGCGGGCAGGATGGACATGATTTACTCTATTAGGCCCAGGTAATTTGCATACTGTTAAGTGATTTGCATGCTGGCAGATCCTAGAACCAGGTTTCAGAGACTTCCCACATTTCTCTCTTAATCACAAGGTGTAGCTTATTTTCACTCCCTATAAAATTATCCTTTATTTTCCTCTCTCATACCATTCTCTCCCACTGGAAATAATACATACTAACATAAGCATGTCATTGCAAGATATTCTCTACCTTCTGAGCTAATGTTCTCTTTGGCATAATTCATCATCCTCTCTGATTTTTCAGAGCTGGTGACAATGGTGACACCCCTAATATCTGAATGATGTCCTTCATAAATATTTTGCTGAGTGATTGATAGCTCCTCTAGTTATTTTTCTCACACCTCTTCCCCTCAGCATATAACAGATGGGATTCCATCATCAGAAGCAGATGTTGTGGAGAGTATCAGGGGCCCAGAAGCCCTAATTCTAGCCCGAGTTCTTCCATTAACTACCTCCACTGCCTGCACAAAACACTTAACCTCTCTGGGCCTCGATTTCCATGTCTGTAAATTGAAGTTGAAAACATCTTCTTCATGGGGTACTAAGGTGATCAGAAAAGATATATACAGAAAGTGTTTCCTACTATAAAGTAGTTTGATACTTGAATTTTTGATATCTCTTTGCCAAATTGTGCTAACTTTTCATAATCAAATTAAATATGCATTATTTCTGTTTTACCCATGTCCCGTATTAGCTGTTCATAACAATAAACAAACAAACACACTTTTAGGAAGGTCAGTTACAATGTGAGAAATTCCTAATGGTGAATTTTCAGTTGCTAAACCAAAGGATAATTTTAACCACTCCCACCTCAGTCTCAAACCATGTCTCATTAGCAACCACATTCTCTCCGTTTATTTATGTAAGTTAGGAGAGGCCCTGCAGGGAGAAGCAGAGCTCTTGTTTGATTTTTGACTGGGCTTCATTCATTGAAGTAAGGTGTCAGGGCTGCCTGTGGATCTGGAAAGCATTTTGGAAGTAAGAAGCAGACAAATGTAAATCTTTTAAACCCCTATGATAAGCAAACTCTCCTCAGTTCAACATATAAATATAAACACTAAATCAAATCAGATGCTTATACATTTTTTAATCCTATCATAAAACATTTTGTTTTGACAGCTTGGTAATGTAAAGTAGAAACACCGACAGCCAAAAGAATCCGCTTCTTTGCTTGCCTACTACCTGAAAGTCTAGTCTTGCCTGTATATAAATAGGAAAAAAATGTATGTTTATGTAAAGGGAAACACTGATTTACTAGAACTGATTGCTTCATAGTCTAATTACTTTTCAACTGGCTGTTCCAAATTAAGATGTCATTGATGGCTTCTGGTGATATATTTCATTTTAAGCAAATTTATTCTATAATAGAGAACATCATAATGGGAAGCAGAGTTCCTACTCTTCCCTCCTCTTTGTAGCCTGATATCTTGACAAGTAAATTAAATTTAGCAGTTAAAATGCTTCCATTAGTAATTTTATTAAGTTAATTAAAGAATCTCTCTTTCTGAATTTTAACTACCTTCCTTTCAGAACCATGTTGATTTCTTTTTTCTTTTTTTAATTTCATGTATTTAGGGACTGTGATATATTCTAGGACCAATCAACAACTCTATCAGTATTGTATTCCTGTGGCCGAGATGCTACCAAGCAAATCAAGGAAAGAGCAGATATAGCCTAAAAGTCTTTGAAAGAGATGGTCTGTTTCCTCTCACAGAAGAACTAGGATTTTAATATCTTCTTTTAAAAAAAAGAGGAAAAAGAGGGTGGAGGAAAAAAAGGAAAAGGAAAATATACTTTTGAGAATATCTTTTTTTTTTGTAAATGGCAGAACTACTAACTAGTGTCCCATACCTACAGGATAAATTGAAAGTAGTTCAAGTAGGTTCAGTGATAGATGGAAAGAGAAAAAAAAATCCAACCCTTTTTCTTATTCAGTAATACAAGTATGCAAGTAGTACTGAGCAAGATACTGAAGTTGGCAAAGCTCATGTTAAATGAAATCTTGGGCCCTCTCCAGGGAGTGGCGTTTTAAAATAACCTGAATATTTGTAAGAGACTTAGGGTGAAAACGAGTTGTCTCGTGGCCCGTTGCCTGTTTCTTGTGGGAGGTGTTCCTAAACTCAGGAATTATGGAAAGTATTTTTAGAGCTGGAAGGGAGCAGAGAGGAAGTTTTATCTTATCCTTTCATTTTAAAGATGAGGAAACTGAGGGCCAGGGATTAACAACGCTGCCACCACCAATAATAATCCTAGCAGCTGTAACCATGGTGGCTAATATTGGTTGAGCTTAGTACTGTGAAGCGTTGCATACAGCATTTAATTAAAAAAAAAACCCACAAGGGAGATTCTTCTAATGTCTCAACTGTATAGATACAAGAAACAATGCCTGAAGAAGGTTAAATAACCTGTGCAAAATCTGTGACTCCCTAGTCCCATATCCCTAATTAGTGCACGTCATTACTTTAGATGAGTGACTTGGGGTCCTGCAACTAGTTTGTGATTCCTCCAAGGCTAAAGCTGAGGGCAGCTCCTTCTCAGCTCTGTACTTTATAAAACTAGGCCATATGAAGAGAACTGGAAAACCAGTGGTCAAGCAGAGGCTTGGGCATTGAGAAGACGCTATGATTTCTTTTAAAAAGAATCCCATTGCCAGAGTACCCAGTGAGATATTTGCTTTGTGGGTGAAACCTTATCAAAGGCTGCACCCATGTGTTCAGACCTGAAGTGACATTTCATTGAAAATTGGGGGATTCTATCCCTTACTCATTCATCGAAGAAATAAAGGAAAGCCAAAAATACAGTCCATGGCAATTACTATTAATACCTCCCATCATCTCTCATTTTCTAATACCCTGCTTTTCTGAATAGCTCATTCTGTGAGCTCACATGTTGACTGTTCAAACTCCATCATCTCTCCCCAAATCACTCCCACCATCTCCTAGAATTCTCATGCCACATCCTCACTCACTGGAGTCTCTCCACACTTACACCTCGGGTATTAGCCACCCAACCCCCATTCTGCCTTTTTATTCTGGAGGATTGAATGCCTTTCATTGCTATATTCCAAACTCACTGCTTTCCTCATGAGAGTAGGACACCATGGCTTTTGTTCCTTCTATTCTTTCCCAATTCTTCAGATTCTGCTTCATACAAGCCCCAGAATGAATCTGGCAACTCATAGGCCCTTCCAGGCAGGACAGAAAAGATGAAGCCAGAAATTATTTAATAGGCCAGAAGAGAGAAACAACTGAGACTGAGATATTAACTGCAGGTGTAAATATATATATACGCACACAATGTATGTGTATATGTGTATGTATAAACACACACACATGTACATATTCATTTTTCCCTCTTTTCTTACTGAAAAAAGCTAAGATGGCAAGTACCTACTCCAGATGATCTTTTTATATTCTGGGAAGCCCAATCCACTTTCTTTATATTTTTTCCTCAAACATCAAGATAAAAAGGATTTAAAGGCTTTATTGCCTTTTGCTCCTTATTTGATCCTTTGTAATCAGGAGGTAGGTTTTCAAGATGGTGCACCAGAATTTCTGAAGCATAATAAATTATCAAATGTTCCCACGGATGCTTTTTGTGGAGGATGTTTCCTTTACTAAGCAAGCCCACTCCTCCGAAATAATGTTTTTAGAAAGAATCTGGCATTCTGCAATATTTCTATAATTGATAGCTAGACAGACAGGCCCAGAATAGGCCGGATCATTCAGTTTTTTTGTTTTTTGTTTTTTTTTTTTTTTTTGCTGATTATATAAAAGATCCTCTGTCCTCTGACCTTTGCCTGAGAAAGAATGTTACCTTAAGGCCATATGAATATTTTCTATATATCTGGCCATAAAGAAAAGATGTTTTCATACAAAATTTACCTCTTACTTGCTTCATATCCTGCCATTCACATTGCAGCTACTCTTTGGTGAAGATCTTTTTCAATTATTTTGGGGAGCTTGTTGTTTTTTAATGTAGGGTTCAAGTCCTGTAGTGAAATCTGTTTCATATTTGCAATCAGTTTTCAGCTCCTGGAAGAATCCCAAATTGGTAAGTCCCTGTAAGTGAAAAAGAAAAAAAAAACAGAATGTAGTTATGCAACCTGAGTTTATAGACGATGAGAGAAGATAACTCAAAGAAGGATTGGCAAAAATAAACATTATGTCCTCTTCTTCCATCCCAGACACTCTGGCTCAGACTTCAACCTGGATAGTGATCAATTAAATGTATAGAACCACAAAAGAGCCATCTGGATCCTGAAACTGTGTGGCAAAATCTCTATTATTTGTCACGTAAAAGGAAGAATAAGTGATTTTGAAATAAAACACCAAAGAAAGATGTACTGAGTTTGATGCAGGAGTAGATGTAGCTGGCCACAGTTGTGAAAGATTCAATAAGCTTCTTCTTACTTGTCCTTCACCCTGGAGGCTTCTGAAGAGGCCTGAATATCTGGCTTAAAGTGAGTGATGCTACTTGAAATGAAAAGCAAGGCGATTGCAAATCACTCTTCTGCACAGGCTTGGAATAAGCTATGGCATGGCTGATGAACAGATTCAGGTATTTAAGTGAGTGTGATTTCCAAGCAACAATTTCTAAACCCCACACTGTTGTTGACCTCCATCACGTGATTGGACATGTTTATGAAAGTGCATGTGGTAGAATGAAATGCACTGAGAAGAATACTGAAGTCATTTTTCAATAGCACAGCAATATTACTGCAAAACGAAGCCACATTACTCCAACGAGCAGTGGAGTCCAGCCTCACACACTTCCTCTGCTTAACAGTCTGAGTCCACTCTAGAAAAGGACCTTTCCACTTCAGGAAAGAGGCTCTGGGTTTGGTTGGAAGAAAGCTAATGAGGTAGGTAATCCAATGTGTGTGCTCAGGTAAAGTCAAAACCTATGAAAAGACTTGAATAAATGGCACCAGCCTATACTTTTGTCTTTTCCATTTTTTCCTCTCTCTTTCTTTTTTTTTTTTTTTTTAGGCATAGATGTAAGGAAGATGAAAGGACCCAAAAACAATTTTTTTTCTCTCTGATCTAATTGGACAGAAAGCAAAACCACAGTACCCAGTCAGCAGTCGTTTAAACCAAACATATCTAATTGTACATTTAAAAATATGATCTACAATTTTCTGTTTAATTAAATCGCTAAAAGTCTTCTGTAAAGGTGAAAATCTTCTCTTTCACACTGATGGTATATAATCTGCTCAGACTTCCTGCTCAAGATATTTACTTCTGCAAAAATTAAAAGTATAATTTATTTATTTATTTTGAGGCAGAGTCTTGCTCTATTGCCCAGGCTGGAGTGCAGTGACACAATCTTGGCTCACTGCAACCTCTGCTTCTTGGGTTCAAGCGATTCTCCTGCCTCAGCCGCACCAGTAGCTGGGATTACAGACATGTGCCACTACCCCCAACTAGTTTTTGTATTTTTAGTAGAAATGGGATTTTGCCATGTTGGCCGGGCTGGTCTCGAACTCCCGACTTCAATTGATCCACACACCTCATCCTCCCAAAGTGCTGGGATTACAGGTATGAGCCACTGTGCTCAGCCAAAAGCAAAAATTTTTGATGTCTAGGAGGCACCTCTAAAAAGTTTATTGTAAACTAAATCAAATATTTTCACTGAACTTCTTCTTGAACATTTTTAGAGAGAAAATCAAAATCCTACTGATAATGAAAGACTGTTTTTTGTGATCACTAAAGCAACTGCTGTCTCTGATCTGATCCCACCTTCTCTCTAATGCCCATCAGCTGTATCACTGGGGAATTGGCTCCATTTGCTCCTAAGGTTATATTCTGTGATATATTTCATATATATATAGTTCTACTTAGTCTAGTCGAGTCTATTTCCATTTGAACCACTGGTAAAGA
Source organism: Homo sapiens (assembly GCF_000001405.40). NCBI lineage: Eukaryota > Metazoa > Chordata > Mammalia > Primates > Hominidae > Homo > Homo sapiens. The sequence goes on along the minus strand of NC_000002.12, from coordinate 58,848,608 downwards.
ACCAGTGTTGATAATAGCCATTAGTTAGAGCAAAGAAATCTACAATCACCGCCGTTCCAACTGTTGGCAACTTAGAAGTAAAATTTTTCACATAGTGATTTATATACATATCTTCTGACGATAAGAAACTCCAAGGCAGACACCATCTTATTCATCTTTAAATCACTACAGCAACTGCCATAATATTTGGTATATTGGTCTTAAATTGTAAAAATAATTGAATGAATGAATAAATAAGAGAATTAATATTTAAATGTGGACACTGATTATTTGTGCTATAGTCATACCACACTGAGAACTGTCTGGAAGAGTTTTCAGAGAGCGACAGAGAAAAATTGGCTGACTATTCCTGGAGAACACGTTGACTGTTTGTTGGATGAAGACAGTTCACCAAGAAAGCAGATTTTGACCCTTCAAGAACTTGAATGTGATGATGAGTTTATGACAGTTCTAAAAGCCAACATACGGTTGGTGGCCAGATTGTGGTTCTGGACTCAGAGGCTTCCATTTGGAAGGCAGACAAGCATTTGAATTATGGGTCTAATGAAAGTGTCAATAGCGATTCTGTTACTGGAGGAGCCGTAAAACCCTGCTTAATGAACTAGGCAGGGACACAAAAACACAATGGTCTAAAATGTACTGTATGAGAAAATGATAATTAGTCAAGATTTCATGTATAAGATAAAATGCATAGGGATGATATTACCACTGAGCAATATTATAGCCCTTCGGGGGACTGTTTTGTTAACAGGGTTTGGCTCAGCTTTTTCTATCCTCCTCGTATGAATGGAGATGCACTATACAACCATGAACTGTGAGTTAGGGAAAGAATTCCTATCATAGATGCTGACAAACATCTAAAATTCAAGACAATAAGAGGGTTCTAGCCTCATTAAAGCTTCACTCTTCTTTGGGAGGATTTAGGCCATAGGGGGTGATAAGCCAAATAGTTTCTCACAGAAAAGGAATGGAGGTTAAAGAGAAGGTGATTCTCTAATCTTGCAGTCTACTTTACTAGACCACCAAACATCAAGTGGTGGGCAAGGGTCACTCACTTCCACACTGTACTCAGAAGCTATTGAGGTTGCTCTGAGCACAGAAGAGAGCAGTAACCTTGGAGTCAGGGGGCTGAGGTTCTAATCTTAGCTCTACACTAACTCTGAGTGTGAACTTTCTCATTTCTTAAAGGAGGACAGAGATGAAGGTGGATTAGAATGGCGCTTCAAAAAATTTAAAGAGTGTAAAAATCACCTGGGTATTTTGTGAAGATACAGATCTTGATTCAGTTGCTCTAGGGCGGGCCTGAGATTCTGCATTCCAAACAAGCTCCTATGTTATGCCAATGCTGCAGGCTCATAAACCACAATTTGAAGAACAAGTGACTAGCTGGTATCTCCCAATTTGAAAATTTGATGAAACTACCAATGTCAATAATAATCCGTTTGCTATCCATTACTACAAGTGGGAAGAGAAAAGCAATTACTGAGTTTTTGGTATCATCAAGGCAAAATTGTTTCAGCTTTGTTTTTGTCTTGTAAATCTAAGTAAGCTGCTTTATCCTAGTTAGAAACTATGAATGCTCTGACCTGTACAATAACAAATTTGTCAGGAATTTTTGGTGGTAGACTGTTAATACTGTTAGACTAGCTAAATATTGCTTTTGGAATAATGTGTTTTATGGCTAAATGGATTGCATGTACAAACTTAAAATGGGGTAAACTATGGTGACTATGAGTTAAAGTGGTGGATCTACATCTATTAATAATAAAGACAAAGGGGATCAAATGATGTGATGTAAGGCATAGTTACTTGTATACAACAATGTGTTAATGTAAGCATGATAGCTATAGGATGACATGAGTTGGGCATGGCTCATACCTTGCCCAAACAGTATCCTAGGTGTTCAGCCTGTTGAAAGTAACTTTGAATGCTATAATCCACTGGGTTCTCTCCATAGATATTTTCTTCCCTTGCCCAAGTTTAATTTTTAAGATGGCATATAGGGAACATGGGGAAAGGAAGAACACTGTATGAATCCATGGTATAAAAAATTATTTCACAGATCTGCAGACAGGGATTTTAGAAGTTAATAGAAATTTTCTTCATTGTGTCAAGTACAGTATTTGACACATAATAGGAGCTCAATTAATGTCTGTTAAGTAAAATGATCTGAAAGCAATAAACAATTGACTAAGCTTCAAGAATGAAATTAAATGAAAGTTCACAAAATCTTCAATAGTTTAAGGGGCCATAAGTTTGGGGGACAAAAACTGGGGACATGTGTCCTTGGTTTTAAAAAAGGAGAGGTCTTTCTCTCCCTCCACTCCTTAAAAAGAAAGCTTTCCTTAGAAAAGAATCAGTAAATTAATCTCAGAACAAGAATTTAATGAGCCCATATAATATGTTTTATGCTTCATATAACCTACCTCTTTTACCCCCTTCAACAACCCTATAAAGTAATTATTATTATTATCATCCCCAGGTGCCTCAGATGCCACAACTAGTAAATGGCAGTACTTTCATTCTAGTTTATCTGACTTAGAAGTCAGCCCTCTGCAGATAGCTTCTAATACAGTCAGGGCAGGGAGGAGAAGGGACAAAATATTTTTAAAAGAAGGGAAAGGGAATATATTTTTTAAAGGGCTAAATTATTGAGACTATGAATTGTAAGGAAATTAAGAGAGGAAATTCACTGTGGACTTCAGTCAAAGTTGGTTTCACAGAGAAAAGCTGGAAGTGGACCCAATGTTCATTCATTCATAACATACTTGTCTGGCCCACATGGGAAGAAATTTTGACACACAGTAAGGTGAGAAGATAAAATGTTCTGAAGAAGGAAAATGATAGTGTTTGATTTTGAGAATAAAAGGGTCAGAAGGACTCTCCAATGTGGACCAGGAAAAAGCAACATACGAAAACTGTTCTTCATTTTCAGTATGTATCAGACACCCAAAATACATACTGCCAATGGGGTGGGGAAAGGGGAGCATATGTTGCTAAAATAATCTAAAGGCAAGTCCTGAATAAGCAAAAACCTAGCGAAACAAAAGCCTATTTGTAAATCACTCCACTTAATTTTTCAGGTCATGATTGCCTCTCTCTGCAAAGTGGTTAATGACATTCTCAATTAAGAGTTTGCTATAAAAATGAATGAATGAAGTATTTCAAAACTGCTATGAGATATTAAAGACGAGTCACTTTTAAAAAGTGGTTTTGTTTCCTGTGTTTGGGGATAATGCATTTGAGAATGTAGTTTCCAGGCTCACCCATCACCCTATTGTGAAATCAAATTGAATGACTTTCTGCTCTTAGAATGATCACTCATTCAAATGCATTCAATAAATAAAGCCCAAACACAATGAAGCACTTTTCCTAGAGCATCCGGAAGAGCTAGGGCCTGGTCTCTCTCACTGTATAAGGCTCACTGTATGAGGCTGAGACGGAAGTAAATAAAGCATTCGCCCACACTGACTGCATAATACATAGTGACTTATTGTTTTCTAAGCTTTTACAGGTACATTATCTCATTTGATCCTCACAATGACCTCATAATAAACATGCTGTTGGTTTATTATCCCCATTTAACAGACATGGAATGGTGAACTCAGAGTAATCAGTGATTTTCCCAAAGTCACACAGCAATCCAAGAGGTACTTTAAATCTTCCCCACCTCTTTCCCCTCCAGAAGAGGAAACATTTCTTAAGTACCAAACAATATAATTAGTACCATTACCAAAACTGGAATAGTAGAAATATTTAATTCATTCAAATGTGCCTCTGGTGATTTTGTAAATACTGAGGTATTCATTTCCTACCTACTGCAAATCTGTGAATTCTACCCTGGACAAAAGGTCATCCAAACATGATCCTTGTTCAGAGTTATGGAAATGTATGCAGCCTAAAAGAAAATGGGCCAAATGCAGGGTAAAAATATCCATGTAACTCCCAGTGCCATTTACTCTTGCTGCCTCAAATCCTTTTCGAAATTAGGCAGGTTATAAATCATAAAAAAAGTATATAAAAATGTAAACTCTTGCCCTAAATTCAATTATCATATATCAGAGAAGGTCATGAGTGCAGTAGGTTGGAGAGCTAGTAAAATAAGACTAAAATAGGTATGGTAGGCAAGCCGGAGAGAGAGAGAGAGAAAGAGAGAGAAAGTTTAAAAAGGAAAAAAAAATATTTTCAATTTACATCTACAGAGCAGACTAAAAATTATCTGAAAAATAACAGAAAATACAGTTTTCCCCCAAATCAACATCCTTTCAGCCTCTAGTTCTAATCAGCCAGAAGTTGACATGGAGAATAATTAGGGGACAGGAGATCAACTTCTCTTAAGTCAATCTGAGCTTAGAACTGTACATAGAAACAGTTCTAAGTGTACCTAAGAATAGAAAAAAAAAAGTAAAAAAAAAAATACTAAAAGCCTTGTCTTCATGGAGGGAAGGGGTAAACAGAAGGGGTTAACCCAAAATGAAGGGGTAGCTTCATTTTCTAACAGTGCCTTGCAAATACCATTTCTAAACCAATTTGGGCCAGCCGTCTCTTGTCCTCATTCAAACACTCCTTTGCTTCTATCTTCATCGTTACTGTGGGATCATCTGTGCAGAGCAAACCTCTCTGGAAGTTGCAGGTCTACCACACGGGCTGGGCTCCCACATCCAGATGTTAAAAAGGCTTGTTGGTTCTCAGGACCCTTTTCGTCAAAATGTCTGATTCCTTTTTCTTCTAAATTTTATGGTATATTTATTCACCTATGGGTAATTGTGAATAGTTTCAGAGTTTCTGAAAACCAGAGTTTCTTTATATGAATCTCCTATTTTATGAGTCGTGGAATTGGGGGAGCCATAATTATATAAGTTGATATTTGAAAAATTGCATTCTTTTAAATGCTCCTAATAACTAATCCATATAATCAAATCATCCATAGCTCTAGTCTTTTTTCTTCTCCACTAAAAACAAGACACAAAAGTCATGATTCCAGGATTTATTCTTCAAAAGGTAAGGTGACTCTGAGCCAAGGTTAATTACCTGCTATTTTTAGGGATCAGGAAATATATTTCTAGCAATATTTCTCCATACATTCAGATTACATTTTAAGCAAAAATAACATATTTGTTCATGACCCATGCTATACAACTACTTTGCATAAAAAGCCCTGTTGAGGTCTTTAAGCCATTTTAAGTGTTATGACCAGTGGCTTCAGGCATAAGATTTTGTTTAGATAGCACAAGACCTTTCTTGTTGATTGAAACCTGGCTTGATGCCTCTATACATCTAAATAATTAGAAAAAAATACATTTAAATGAGAAGCAGATGCTGTTTCCAGATTTCTATTTTCACTGTACAGAATAAATAGAAGCTTTCATCTCTGCGTTTACTCTTTGGATGTGGTGCATACTGCATGAATCATTATTTAAAGCATAGGGTGTTCCTTTCACAAAGGTAAAGGAAATAGGGGACCTCTGGGGTACTCATTCCTCCGAAACATTTTTGCTCCAAGAAAACTACACAGGATTATTTATTCTCCTTTACTTTTTCATACGCTTCCATATCTGGTACTAAGCCAGTAGATCCAAATAGAATGGGGGAAGGCTGTGCTGAATGCAAAGATGGCAGGCCCTGCTGAAGATCAGTAGCTTGTAATTGGCAACAGACGACAAACATACTGCAAATGTTCAATGTTCATCTTATCAGATGCAAAACCAATTAAGAAGAAACTATACCCAGGCAAGGGAAAATAGAGGACAGGACATCACTGGGTACCTTTGAAAACACAGGGTAGTTTTCTCGAGCTTCTTTATCTGCCACTATGTCAACACTCTAACAGGTAGAGTACATTTTTAGTTTCCCTTGTAAGTTAGGTAGTTACTGGGCCAATTTTAAGTGCTTGAGATGTTTGGATGAAGGAGCTATGTAAACAAAGGGCAAAGGTCTGCATAACTTGGAAGCAAAGTATGTGTACCTGAAATCCAGAGATTCCAGAGCCTGATCTGAGCTGTTAGCTACAGTGAGACAAGCCAAAGTAGCTACCAAGTCCAATGGGAATTAATAAGCAATGATGCTATAATTAATTTACTGAAATTACTCGTTTAGTTTTTCTCTCTCGCCACGCTCCCCCAGAGCTGTACTATTTCTTTTCTAAGAACGTTTCTATTGCTCACCATTTTCCTGCAGCTGTAGCACAGTATCTGCTACAGATAAGTTATCAATCAATCAGCATTTGTGGACTGACATTATGAATGAATGGATATAATCTGAATGTTTATTCACTGCCCTGAAATAAATACCACATTTTATGACTTGTATAAATATAGAACGTAAAAATTTAAATAGTAGTTGCCACTTAAGAAGAACATGTCATGTCTCAGGCATTGTGCTAAGAATTTTACTTGCATTGTATTAATTTTGACACCCAAAATGATATTAGGAAGTAAGTATTATCCTCTCTGCTTTACAGATGAAGAACCAGAGGCTCAGTTCGGTGAGTGGACGTTGCTAAGGATCAGCCAGTAAGTGACAAAACTCCCTAGTCCGTCTTACTCTGTAACCCTGACATATCCTTTAACCATGGCATCATGCTGCCCACGGGGCGGGCTTCAAAGGTTTTAAAAGCTTGTTCTAATACAATGTGCTACAAACTTAGATTGAATGCAGAAAGAAAGAGTAAAAATTTCTACCAATTAATTAGCACTTGGAATATCAGAATTGGGTTTTCTGTGCACATGCAGTGAATAAACTGTTCTTAGAATCGAACCAATGATCCAAATGAACAACGCATTCTTTCAGCAGAGAAAGGTTTGAAGGGTTCAGTCATATGAATTGTGTTGCTGTGAAATAAACCAAGGTGAAAAAATTCACCCAGAACTTTTGATCTGAACAGACATTGAAGCAATTCTATCCTGTATGTGTACATATGGATCCCAAAGAAAATAATACAATGTTAGAAATAGGAATATACATATTACCACTGTGGCTGCTGCTACTGAGGCTACCATTATAAGCGGTGATAATTTGTCATCATTATAGTTTAGATATATTGAAAGCTGACTGTACACCAAGCTTTATAAGTCTTTTTCAGGTAGTTTCTCATTTAATCTTCACACAACTCCATGAGGTAAGCATAATTGAAACCCCCATTTTTCACAGGAAGAATTTGAAGCTAAAGAAGGTAAGTAACCAGTCTATGGCCAAACAGCCAGTGAGGATGGAATCAGACACAAAACCAGGTCTGTCTGGGCCCAAGCTGTGTTCTCACCACCACTATGTAGTGTTGCATTGATTTCTACACGAGTATGATTCCTACGGCCCTACCTGTGACCTTCTAATTTTAGTTTCTTCAAATGCTTTACATGTATTATACTTCAGTTCTATTGCCAACATGAGCTGGAGGAAAGTAAGCAAGCAATACAAGGGACTTTATTTTGCTGATGGAGAGATGAGCAAGTGTTAAAATTCAATCGTATGCCCCCCAATAAATCCATGAGGTTTTTTCCCTCAAATTAGAAATAGCAAGTTTTTGTTTTGTTGTTTTTCAGTATATTACAAGGATGAGGAACTTGCTATGAAAATATGTCAGTGTTTGTTAATGCCAGGCTCCTCCTATACCAGCAAAGAACATAGTCCACACTCACCATTCAATAACTGGTACTGAACATGTCTACAGAGAAATTATGGTATATTTGCTGGAGTTTTCCTTCTAAACAGACTGTAAATAAAATGGAATGTTTTTTCTGGCAGCATTTTGAACCCTCAGCTACTGGGTCTGTATTAAACCTGAAAATACAAGGGATTTCCATTCATGGGAAATGAGATGAAGGATAAAGCTAAGTGACCTTTTGAGAACACTTTAAAATTATATTCTGTTTATTGAGTTCATGTCTTGGTCTAAGGTTCAGAATGATATTCATTTTGTATGAATACTTTTTTTTCTCAAATCATTGTGAAGAAAATCATAAGTGTATGAAAATATTGTATAAAATGAAAATATTCCTTTGAATGTTTAGGGACCACACATGCTTTTAGGAACTAAGAGATACAATTCTCCCTTTGGATAGCTTTAAGAATTAGGGGAAGTCATTTAAATTATCCAAGCCTCAGTTTCCTTATCATAAAATGTAGGGCTGTATCTAGCTTGTCTCAAAATTACTATGCAATTACAAATCTATGATTCTTTGAACCTACCTTAGATTGAGGAGTTACATGTGCATTTACACAGCAAATGATCACATAACTGCAGAGAGCATCTCAGTAAATTCCTAAGAAATCATTTGACAATGTAACCAAATAATAAATAGCTACAATAGTCTAACACATATAAGAAGGTAACAAAATTTTTCAACTTGGTGCAGGAATGATGATTATCTCAGTCTTTCTAGGCTTTTCTCATTATCCTGAAACATAGTTATCAAGGAAATAGGAAGTAGAAATTCTTCGTATTTATTCTTGATGCTGATAACATCTATATTTGACATTCTAGAATAACAACATCTCCAGTAGCAACTAAGATATGCATGTTTCAGAACTGAGAAACTTTTAAAATCCCCTTTTAAGCAATGCAGCCACAGAAGACTCTTAATAATTGATTATAACTGATTTTAACCTTGTCCTAACCTGGGCAAAATGGCAAAGCCAATCATCTTTGTCCAGATGGGGTATGAGAAAACAGCCCCCGGTCCACATCTTTAAAAGCTCCAGACATGAGCAGAAGATAAAATATTTAGTCTGCCAAAGCCTTGACCTCCCAATTCCAGCCAGTTTTGAACTTGAATTGATTTCCGACAAGGCATCTGGGAGATGATTACAACAAAATGCACTAAAGCTGGGCAGCCTTTATTTTAACATCCCAGCAGCTTAACCTGTTAATAACAGCAATTGTTTTAGATACAATACCAATTTCTGTAACTGACGCAAGAAATGGATAACAGCAGCACAGTCTCCAAGGCAGTGCAATAAAAAAAAGAAAAAGAAAAAAAAGCACAGCTGGTCACAGAGGAGGTGCTGGCAGTGTTTTCCAAAGAAACTTCAGTTTTCAGGGACCCAACTCTACAGTCTCAAAAAAAAAAATATTTAGCAGGAGAAGGTTGCATGTTGAGAGAAACGCTGTTAGCAAAGGGATCTGGAATCACATCTGTGTTCTGCTGATGAAAGCTGAGCTATCTTGGGCAAGTCACTTCACATTTCCATGCCTAATTTGTTTTGTTTGAAACAGTGCTGCCCAATAAAAACACAATGTGAGATGCAAATGTGAATCCATATGTAATTTTAAATTTTCTAGTAGACACATTAAAAAAATTGAAAGCAAAATTAATTTTAATACCTTATTTAATCTAACATATCCAAAATGTTATCATTTTGACATGTAATTAATACAAAATTATTATTTAATATTTTATATTTATTTTTCATACCAAGACTTCAAAATCTGGTGTATATTTTACACTTATGGCACATTTCAATTCAGATTAGTCATATTCCAAGTGCTTAGTATCCACATGTGATTAGTGGCTACCCTATTGGATAATACATGTTTGAAGAAAGAACTAGAGATGATTGGGCTAATCATCTCTAGTGTCTTCTCAAACTATAACATGTCATGATGATTCTAAATGTTGCTTCTGCTGCTTTTCATTTGAAAAACCAGCTAAAGGTCAAAAGCATAGATATAGCCTGTTGATCAGTGAGACCCAGATGTTAAAGTGATAGCATCTGGGGCCTAAGTTTGAAGTTAGCAGGGAGTGAAGTCTGTGCTGATGCATGGACATGGTTTTAACCTTATCCCTGGTCAGCTGTGCTACACCAGTTTGTCATAAGTAATGTAGAGTAGGTGGACAGAGTGGGTGGCTGAATAAAATTTCATGACATAGCCCAGCATGTTCTATTACAGAAAATGATAAATATCCTCAGTGTTTTTTGAGCACTATTTATGTGCCATTCATACTGCATATAAAGATCATTTAATCATCTCAACTACCTTTTGAGGTGAGAATTATTAACCTTATTTAACAGATAGGGACTGAGCCTCAAAGAAACTAATTAGCCTGCCTGGTGTCAGAGTCCTAGAAAGTATTTTGTGTGGATTTGAACACAGCCTTTTTAGACCTTACGGCCAGTCTCTTGATCACCGTGATGTGCTGCTTTTACAAATAAGCAGTATTTGGTCTTCTATCTGGCTCCTACAAAGGTTTCCCAAATTGAAGATATAATAAAGCGGAGGCTATAGAAAGGCTAAAGGTGGTGCTTTCACTTTTTAATGACTGATAAAGTCAGAAACGGTACAGCAGATGATAACATTCTAATAAACATATACCCCTCTTCTCTCCTAGTCATTAATACCCACAAGAAAGAAGAAAAAAGGAAGTGGAAGGAAGGAATGAAAGAGACAAAGAGAGGAAGGAAGGAAGGAAGGAAGAAAGGAAGGAAGGAAGGAAGGAAGGAAGAAAGGAAGGAAGGAAGGAAGGAAGGAAGGAAATGCTGAATATGCTTATGCTCAGAGACCCATCCTCAAATACAGACTCCTGCCATCTCCTTGTCACCAGACTGTCACAGTTAAGATGAGAAAGTTTAAAAACCTACATTTTATTTATTTTCGATAATTTTGCATAACATATTATTTTTTTGATAGTTTTTGATAGTTATTTCTACATTGAGGAAATGGTTGAGCATCAGAAATAGGACTGGATAAAAAGATTTTTTTCCTGCTACAATATGTGTTATTAGTTTTCTTTTCTGGTGTCTGAAGGTATAGAGATAGTTCACATTGGTAATTTGAAGAGTAAATTGTTTCTTTTGAAAACCTTATTCTAGTGCATTGTTAACTTGATTTAAAACTAACCTTCTTACAGAGGACTTTGGAAAAGGTCTAGTGGCCAATCTGAAAGCAGTTCTCTGCAGGTGGGCCATGACGTGCTCATTACCTGTGAACCAATCCAAAATCACAAAGTCTAATCACTCTTGTTCATTGTGTCTTCACTTCATGGGCCACTAATATCTTGGCTGCAAGGAGACTTTTCTCCAACTTGATCAAGCATATGCTAACAGTGTATTTACCCAGGATGGTAACAGCTTATACTTATTGCATGATTTCTCTGTGCCAAGCACCAAACCTGTTTGGGTGATTTATGTGAATTATTCAATCCTCATTAGATAGGTGCTCTTATCATCCTCTTTTTACAGATGAAGAAACTGAGGCACATAATGCTTATAAATAGTAATAATCAATACTTTTTGTTCCCATTTTTTTTCTTCTCCTGGTCTTCCAGTACATTTCTGTCTCCTTAGCAACGTCCATCCAGCCATAACTACAACCTCATCTAGGCTTTAGTGTCTCCATTATCCTCGATCCTAATCACAAAGTTATCTGTTGGCAGTAGAGAATGGGTTTATGTATTCCATCAGTTATTTATTACTGCATAACAAACAACCCTGGACATTTGTGAATTATATTTAAGACAATTTGATGTGCATTTTATCACAATTTTAATTTTTTAAAAAATTTAAAGTCATAAGTCAATAAAAAGTTTACTTACTTATTATTTTGTGGGTCAACTATTTGGCTTGAGCTTAGCTATAGAATTCTGCTAGTTTACCAGGGGTCACTCATGCAGCTATAGTTATCTGGTGGCTCAACAAGGACTGGGTAATCTAAGGTGGCCTCATTCACATGTCTAGCACTTGGTGCTATCTGTCAGCTGGGCCACCTGTTTCCAGCAGACCGTACTTCTTTACATGGCAATGTTGCTCCAAGTCCCAATCTGCAAATATTTTTAAAGCCTCTGCTTGCATCACATTTACTGGTCTTCTGGGCCAACACAAGTCTCATGTTTAAGCCCAGGATCAAAGTTAGAGGAAACTACACAAGGGTATGGATCGATAACAATCTAACATAAAAAGCACCTAACATATTCTTTCTTCTCTTTCAATATGGTCTAAACAACTCAAGCCTAAGAAGACTGAATAAGAGAAGGAAATCCAAATTTCCCAATAAGCCAAGAATATATCAAATTCTAAATTTGGCCTTCAGTTTAAGCCTCAGATGTAAATGAATACCAAGTCCCATATTTCCACTGAAATATATTTCTTTTCATAGCATGTTTTGAAAAGATGGCCAGCAGCTTTGTATTTAAATGAAAAACAATATTTCATTTGAGGGCACAACAATATTAAATATTTTTTACAAGACTCTACTGGATGATGACAATGGCTAATACTGTATTTTTGCCATGGGAACTTTTATTTTACTGAACCACTAAAATTACCATCAGATGTGCTCATCTTCTGTTGAAGTAATGAACAATGGTATGTCTGAGAGAGAAACTCAAAGTGCATCATTTATCTTATCCTATTTTCAATTAGGCTGAATAAAGTATAAAGTTGGTTCCAAAGTATATCACAGAAACAGGGTGAGTAAATTTATTATACCACTAGAGTGCTAATCTTAGCAGATGGTAGAAAAAATATTTTTAGCATGAAATATGCTAAAGCAATAAATCTGAACAAGGTGGATCTTATCAACTAATATCTCCCCAGTGTGAGGTAAAACTCTTGCATGACAACTCAGCATTCTTATGAAGTCTGGGTGGATGTGGTTAGATATGGCCCTGAGTGAGAGAGAAAAAAAAAAACAGCAAAAATGAGGATCAATTAGGAAAACAACCACACATGCTAGGACACTGCACTGATTTTTTTTTTTTTTAAGAGTGAAATGACTATGTTGTGTTTTGAATTTCCTTGGATTTTATTTTTTTAAATCATGCCTACCCCAGAGTTCTGTCAGTCTTCCATTTGGGAGTTTTCCAAATTGGAAAATTTACAAAAAGTCTCTGTTAGGTCAGCTTTAGAGTAGATGTGAGCACACACAGTCACACATTGGTACTAATCACCATTAGCCAAGGCATGCATCTAATAAGAGAGCCCAAGGAAGGGGCTCTGGAAAACTGGGCTCAGGCCCAAGGCACCTGAATGAGAGCTTCCAGACAAGGGATGCATTCGGTTCATAGTTCATCAGAATCCAGCTGCTAAGTCCAAACATATAGAATAGGTCGCTCATTCAGAATAGACAGCATGTGACACTCAAAAGTTCTATTTTCAAAGGAAGATGTGCAAAATGGAAGAGTGAGAGGTAATAGATAATAATGAAAAAGCTACGATGTGGTTGAAAAATCTGTCTGTGAGGTAGTTGAGCTAGATAATTTTTCAAGGTGACCATAAACTATGTTTTATAGCCATCTTGTACCTGATTAATGTTCATGTCTCAAAGAAGTGATGTGTTAGAGTAGATCAGATTGGTGGTGGGTCTAGGGTCAGAAAACAAGAAATTCATGCTCAAATCTGCCAGTGAAAAACTGGGCTCAGGCTCAAGGCACCTGAATGAATCTTCCTTGCAGCTGAGCTTATTATATAATTTTTCTGGGCTTTAAATTAATTATCTACAAAATAAGGATTTGGTCTATAGTGTCACTATGTAAAGAATGAGTGTGGAGTGGAAGGAATGAATCAGAATCATTAGAACAAGTTGCACTTGAGGTGAGCAACAACAAACAAGAGTTAGTAACGCAGGGTTCCAGGAATTCCTCTTAATCTTGGCAATATATCAAATAATTTGAATTGTGCTTCATTCATTCACTTGAATTGAAAACAAACTAAAACCAGTAAGATGCCCAAATGTTTAATAAATTTCATCCGAGTAAATTATGAGAAACCACCTTAAGTTTATCATACTTCCCAAAGTTTGGTAATAGAGGTAGATGTTGGAAATTAATTAGAGGTTGGGGAGTTCAGGAGAGAAACTTCTCTGCTTGGTGAGGTGGGGATGAGGGTGAAGGAGCACAGAAGGAAGTGGGTAGGGAGCTATATAGGAAGCCACTCCTCACTTTTTCCCCTAGTGCTGTCCCCTTCCAGACTCTCTCACCTGAATCTCTGCTGCCTCAGGGTTAGGACATTCAAACACAGAAACAAAGCTTTTGTAGAAGTGTGGAGTTAGAGCCTGGAATTTGAGTGTCGCTGTCCACGGTCCTGATCGTCCTGTTGCTGTTTCTCCTGACCAAGGGACACCACAGATTACTTTTGTCCAGTTTAGCCAAAATGAAACAAAAAAATTGTAAACTAGTCATGGAACAGACTGGATCACAAGCTGTAGATAAAGACTGAGAGGAAGAGACATAGGCACCAAGAAATTACAAGAGAGAAACAAACAAAATTTGTTGATATGATTTTCAAATAACCTCAGGTGCCACAAATAAAACCACAAATTACCATGGCCAAAACAGAGAACTACTGAAAGAGAGTATAACATTTGTGACCAAAGCTATAGAATCATAACAAGTCCTGACATAAACAAACATATTTAAGTGAGGTACGCAGAATGCCAACCTGGTAAAATAAAACTCATTAATTGAACTATGCCGAACAGCTCACAGTTTTCTTTGGCTCAGTATTTTCTACTTGAGGACATCTAGAAATTTTACAGTTTCATAGAACAAATGTAATCGTAACTTATTTTGCACTTCATGTAGCTAATTCCATTATGTTTGGCAGTTCTACCATGTTTTCCAAACTACCCCTTGAAGAAACAACAGGTGGAACTGCCCTACATCCCCTCTGCTGTGTTTGTATGTCTCAATCAGGGAAATGGACAGCAAAAGAGAAGGCTAGTAATGCTACAATATATATTCTCTCATTCTTCCATAGCAATAGAATCTTCATTCAGGACTCCACAGAATTAAAATTATATTTCACAGCATCCTAGCAGTGTAGGGTGGCCACCCTTCTCTCTCACTCTCTCTCAAAGAAAAAAAAATTTCCTCTGTTCTCTTCTTTATCACCCTTATTGTATCTTGTAGCCTGCATCATCAGTGACACAGGATAGTATGAGGCTGAGGATTCTAGTCTAGGAGTAGTAAAGTGGTGAGTATGAAAGATCATGAGGGAGCAGAGCAGCCATAACAACCCTGGACTTCATTCACCCTGAATTTCATGTCAAAAGAAGATAAGCATGTATTTTTCTTTCTAAGCCACTGCCATTTTTTTTCTGTTACTAGCAGCTGAACCTAATCCTAATTAATACACTATTCATCAATATTTGATGAATGCATAGCAAATACTGGCTCATGTATACCAAAAAAAGAAAGGAATCTAAGGAAAAATAACAAACCGACAAGCAAAAGACTTCCATGAGGTCCTGTTGTTTTTCCATGAAGCAGGAATCCCCAAATATCTCCAAGCATTGGAACTAACATTGCATTTTGCCAAAATAAATAAATTAAATAGTCTTTTAAAAATAATTTATTTACAACATGGAATTTCCTAAGAAACAATTTTCTTCCTCCAAACACTCTCTCCACTCTAACTAGCTCAGGAGAAATGCTATGAGCTTCACAATAAACCTCTTAAGTGGATGACAATGAGAAGCTTGAAGCCACTGTCCAATAAAAATGAGTTAGCCACCCTAGATTTTTAGGTCTCCAAAAAGAGATTGTGGGCTCTCCTTTCCTGGTGATAAAGGTGGGCACAATAAGCTGATTATTTTTGCACAAAACTTGGTATTTTCATGCAGTATTAAGAGTGGCCAGAATCACATTAACTCTGCCCCTTATGGAAATTGCTGTGACCCTTATTTCCTGCAACTGGACCAACTGTCAATTGTCTTTGAATGTGAAAGATGGTGGTGATCTCTTTGTATGCAGGCAGAATGTGTTTCAAAATGGACAACCAGTTGTGAACACTTTGCAGGAAGAGCCAGAATCCCCCTCCAGAAGCTCCTCCCTTCCCTCTTCTTATTGCATAGAAAATGCCAGGAAAGTTTAAAATTAATGGTGACCAATTGAAAAAGAAAAGGAAATCAAAGAAACATTCCCTGAGAAGCAGCCTTATTTGTTTCACTTTACATAAAAGCACCGACAGGTCCTGTCAGCTCTGGTTTTTGTAGAGAGGATGGGAAGGAGAAAAGCCCATGCACAGGACAGAAAACATGTTTCCAGGCACAAGCAATTTTTTTATTATTTTAAATCTGTTATGAACATAATACAAACCAGGACCATACACTTTTCTCAAGTTCTGTTAATGTTAATAATTTTAAAATCTGCAATTTTTAGGGTTAAAATCAAATATAAAAGAAATACATGGCAGTATTTTATGTACCAATAACAAAAGTACATAATTCTACCCTATAAGGCTATAAATGCTTCAATTCCAATCTACCTGGATACACAAATATTACTAGTAGCCATAAAGACTGCAGTTGCTGGAACAGGCATCCATGAGAAGATCAACATGCTTAGTGACTCCACTTCAGAACACTAGCTTAATGAGACAAAAGTATTTAGCCTCAGTCCCCACAGGGACCCCTTAGTTAATCCATAGCTATTGCTCTTCACCAACTGCTTAATTTCAGCCAAAGTCTGATATTGGCTACAAGAGGGACTGAGAAAGAATGTGTGGGCAATTCAGGGCAAAGGCAGTCCCATTGTCAGAAAGACAAGACACAACATATACCCTGTTAATTGGAGTTACTAATACCATCTTCTCTTGTATAAGAAACAAAGACAATTGTTATTAGCCATATGACTTTGCTATCTGAGCAGTTTGGTCCGAGTCAACTCCAAAACAAGAGAGGTGGCAGAACAAGATGGCAGAAAACAAAGCTCCACCAAAGATTCCTCCCACAATGACACCAATTTAACAGCTATTTACATGAAAAAACACCTTCATAAGAACTGACAATCAGGTGAGTACTCACAGTACTTGGTTTTAACTTCATGCCACTGAAAGAAGCACTGAACTGATTAGGAAACACAGCCTCATATTGCCAATGCCACCCCTCCCCCATCCTCTGGCAGTGGCTGCATATCACAGAGAAATCTCTGTGCTAGGGAGAGGGAGAGCACAGCAATTGTGAGAACTTGCACTCAACTTAGTGCTGCCGTGTAACAGCAGAAAGCAAAACCAGGCTAAAAGCTGACACCCATCCATACAGGGAGTATTTAAACAAGCTCTAGTCAAAGGGGAATTGCTCATCCCA
The DNA here is from genome assembly GCF_000001405.40 of Homo sapiens. Lineage (NCBI taxonomy): Eukaryota > Metazoa > Chordata > Mammalia > Primates > Hominidae > Homo > Homo sapiens. The sequence continues at coordinate 58,831,591 of NC_000002.12, read as the reverse complement.
GCAGCTGGAACTTGAGTTCCAGCAAGCCTTGCCACCATGGGCTAAAGTGCTCTGGATCTCTAAATAAACTTGAAAGGCAGTCTAGGCCACAAGGACTGTAACTCCTAGGTTAGTACTAGTGTTGAACAGGGCTCAGAGCCAGTGGACTTGCAGGATATGTGTCCTATTGAGACACCAGCTGGGGTGGCTAAGGCAGTGCTTCTGCCATCTTTTCCCCAACCCCAGGTTGCACAGCTTGTGGCTCCAAAAGAGTTCCCTCCTTGTATCTCAGGAGAGGAGAAGGAAGAGTAAAAACGACTTTCTTTTGCATCTTGGATACCAGCTCAGCCACAGTATGATAGGGCATCAGTCAGAGTAGTGAGGCCCTAGCTCCTAGATGACATTTCTAGACACACTCTGCGGCAGAGGAAATGTGCTACCTTGAGGATAAAGACCCAGTCCTGGCAGAACACATCACCTGCTGAATAAAGAGCCTTTGGGCCCTGGATAACCAGCAGTAATACCTAGGTAGTATGTCATGGGCCATGGGTGAGACTCTGAGACTTGCTAGCTTCAGGTGAGACTCAGCACATTCCAACCTGCGGTAAATATAGAAAGAGACTCCTTCTCCTCAAGAAAATAACAGGGCAAAGTAAATAAGACTTTGTCTTGCACCTGAGGTATTAGCTTGGCCACACAGGGGTAGAACACCAAGTGGGTTACTGGGTTCCCCAATTCCAGGCCTTTGCTCTTGGATGGCCTTTCTGTATCTACCCTGGGTCAGAGGAGAGCCTACTGCCCAAAAGGATGAGTCTCAGGTCAGGCAGCATTCACCACAAGCTGACTAAAGAGCCTTTGGAACTTAAGGAAACAACAGCAATAGCCTGACAGTACTCCCCATGGACTTGTTGGGATCACAGCCATGCAATGAGGGGTGGGAGGGAAGAATGGAAAGAACAGAGTCTTATGGTTTGAATGCAAGCTCAGCCACAGTACAATAGAATACCAGGTAGACTTCTAAGGATTTTTACTACAGTCTCTGGATCCCAGATGGCACCTCTGGACCTGCCTGGAGCCTGGAGGAACTCATTGCCCTGAAGGGAAGGACACAACACTGTCTCACTTTGCCACCTGCTGACCAGCTCAGAGCCTTGAGTGAACATAGGTGGTAGCCAAATAGTGGTTACAGTGGGCCTTGAGTAAGACCCTGTGTCATGTTGGCTTTGGGTCTAACCCAGCACAGTCCCAGTGGTGGTGGCCACAGGGGTGTTTGTGTCACACCTTCCCCAGCCCCAGCTGCAGGCAGCTCAGAAAAGAGAGAGAGAGAGTGGGGGGTGGGGGGCTGTTTGTTTGGGAGAAAGTAAGGTGAGAGAACAGGGGTCTCTGCCTGGTCATCGAGATAATTCTTCGAGATCTTAACCAAGACTATCAAAGCAGTACCTCTATGAGCAGGCAAAAACTATGGAGTTACTGGGCTTAGGGTGCCCTCTAATGCAGATACAGCTTAGATCACAACACCTGCATCCTTTTGAATACTTGGAAAGTCTTCCCAAGAAGGATGGGTACAAACAAGCCCAAAATGCAAAGACTACAAGGAATAACTCTTCAACTTCCAGACACAGTCAAACATCCACAAGCATCAAGATCATCCAGGAAAACATGATCTCATCAAATGAACTAAACAAGGCACCAGGGACCACCCCTGGAGAAAAAGAGATATGTGACCTTTCAGACAGGGAATTCAAAAGAGCTGTGTTGAAGAAATTCAAAGAAATTTAAGATAACACAGAAAGAATTCAGAATTCTATCAGACAAATTTAACAAAGACATTAAAATAAAATGAATCAAGCAGAAAATTTGGAGTTGAAAAATGCAATTGACATACTAGAGAGTATATCACAGTCTTTTAATAGAATAATTGATCAAACAGGAGAATTAGTGGCTTGAAGCCATTTGAAAATACACAGTCAGAAGAAGCAAAAGAAAAAAGAATAAAAAACAATGAAGCATACCTACAGGATCTAGAAAATAGCCTCAAGAAGACAAATCTAAGAATTATTGGCCTAAAAGAGGAAAGAGATAGGGGTAGAAAAGGATAATAATGAGTAACTTCCCAAACCTAGAGAAAGATATCAATATCCAGGTGCAAGAAAGTTATAGAACAGCAAGAAAATTTAACCCAAGCAGATTTTGCCTACCTCAAGGCATTTAATAACGAAACTCCCAAAGGACACTGTATACTGTGGTGTGTAAACTATCCTAAATAGAGAGACTAAATGATGAACCAATCAAAAATAAAAACTACAACTTTTCAAGACATAGTACAATCAGATATGAATAGAAACAAAAAAAGTTAAAAAGTGGGAAAATGAAGTTAAGGTGTAGAGTTTGTATTACTTTACTTTTTCCTTATTTGTTTATGCAAATATTTTTGTTATTAGCTTAAAATAATGGGTGATAAGATATTATTTTCAAGCCTTATAGTAAATACCCTCAAATTGAAAAGCATACAATGAATATATACACAAGAAAGTAAGAAATTAAATTGTACCACCAGAGAAAATCACCTTCACTAAAAGGAAAATGAGGAGAGAAAGAAGAGAAGACCACAGAACAACCAGAAGCAAATAACAAAATGGCAGAAATAAGTTCCTACTTATTAATAATAATGTTGAATATAAATGGAAAAACTCTCTAATCAAAAGACATAGAGTGGCTGTATGAATAAAAAAAAAAAGAAAGATCCAATGATCTGTTGCCTACAAGACACACAATTCATATAAAGATGCACACAGACCAAAAATAAAAGAATGGAAAGATATTCCATGTTAATAAAAATGAAAAAAGAGCAGGAGGAGATATGCTTATATCAGACAAAGTAAATTTCAAGACAAAAACCATAAGAAGAAACAAAGAAGGCCACTATATAATGACAAAGAGGTCAATTCAGCAACAGAATATAACAAATGTAAATATATATGCACCCAATGCCAGAGCACCCAGATATATAAAGCAAACATTATTAAAGCTAAAGTGAGAGATAGGCACCAATACAATAATAGCTGGAGACTCCAACACTACACTTTCTGCTTTGGATAGATACTCTAGACAGAAAAACAAAGAAATATTGAACCTAATCTACACTATAGACCAAATGAACCTAATAGATATTTACAGAACATTTCATCCAACGGTTTCAGAATACACATTCTTTTCCTCAGCCCATGGATTATTCTCAAAGGCAGACCATATGTTAGGTCACAAAATAAGTCTTAAAACATTTTTTAAAACCCCAAAAATATATCAACCATCTTTTCTTCCACAATGGAATAAAATTAGAAACAAATAACAAGAGGAATATTCAAAACTAGAGAAACACATGAAAATTAACAATGCATTCCTGAATGACAAGTGGGTCAATGAAGAAATTAAGAAGGCAACTGAAAAGTTAATTGCAACAAATGAAAATGGAAACACAACATACTAAAACCTAAGAGATACAGCGGAAGCAGTACTAAGAGGGAAGTTTATAGTTATAAGTGCCTACATCAACAAAGAGAAAAAACTTCAAATAAATAACCTAATGATGCACCTTAAAGAACTAGAAAAGTGAGAGAAAACCAAACCCTAAATTAGTATAAGAAAAGAAATAATAAAAATAAAAATAAGAGCAGAAATAAATGAAATTGAAATTAAAAAATAAAACACAAAAGATCAAGGAAACAAAAAGTTGTTTTTTGAAAAGACCAACAAAATTCACAAACCTCTAGCCATACTAAGAAAAAAGAGAGAAGACCCAAATAAATAAAATCAGTGATGAAAAAGTAGACATTACAACTGACACTGCAGAAATTCAACTGATCATTAGTGGCTACTATGAGCAACTATATGGCAATAAATTGGAAAAACTAGGAGAAATTGATAAATCCCTAGACACATCCAACCTACATATTGAAACATGAAGAAACCTAAAACCCGAACAGACCTTAATAAGTAACAAGATCAAGTAAAAAGTATCTCAGCAAAGGAAAGCCCAAGACCTGAGGGCTTCACTGCTGAATTCTACCAAACATTTAAAGAACTAACACCAATCATACTCAACTATTCTGAAAAACAGAGGAGGAGAAAATACCTCCAAACTCATTTTATGAGGCCAGTATTATCCTGATACCAAAACCAGACAAAGACACATTTAAAAAAAAAAAAAAAAAACTGGCCGGGTGTGATGGCTCACGCCTGTAGTCCCAGCACTTTGGGCAGCCAAGAGGGCAGATCATGAGGTCAGGAGATTGAGACCATCCTGGCTAACATGGTGAAACCCCATCTCTACTACAAATACAAAAAAATTAGCTGGGTGTGGTGGGGGGCACCTGTAGTCCCAGCTACTCGGGAGGCTGAGGCAGGAGAATGGCATGAACCTGGGACACAGAGCTTGCAGTGAGCCAAGATGGCACCACTGCACTCCAGCCTGGGTGACAGAGCAGGACTCTGTCTCAAAAAAAAAAACTACAGGTCAATATCACTGATGCATATTGGTGTAAAAACTCTCAACAAAATACTCGCAAACCAAATATAACAATAGATTAAAAAGGTCATTAATCATGATGACATGGAATTCATCCCAGGAATGCAAGGATGGTTCAACATATGTAAATCATTAATGTGATACATCATATCAACAGAATGAAGGGCAAAAAACATATGATCATTTAAATTAATGCCGAAAAGGCATTTGACAAAATTCAACATCCCTTGATGACAAAAAAAAAAAAAGCCTTCTCAAAAAAACTTGGTATAAAAGGAACTTATCTCAACATAATAAAAGCCATATAGGATTAACCCATAGCTAGTATCATACTGAATGGGGAAAAACTGAAAGTCTTTCCTTTAGGATAAGGAATACCACAAGGATGCCCACTTTCACCACTGTTACTCAACATAATACTGGAAGCCCTAGCTAGAGCAATCAGACAAGAGAAAGAAAGAAAGGACCTCCAAATTGGAAAGAGATAAGTCAAATTATCCTTGTTTGCAGGGGATATGATCTCTCATATTTGGAAAAACCTAAAGACTCCACCATAATACTATTAGAACTGATAAACAAATTCAGTAAAGTTGCAGGATACAAAAACAGCATACAAAAATTAGTAACATTCTATATGCCACAGTGAACATTCTGAAAAAGAAATCAAGAAAGTAATCCCATTTACAATAGCCACAAATAAAATTAAATAGCTAGAAATTAGCTTAACCAAAGATGTGAAAGATCTCTACAATAAAAACTATAAAACACTGATGAAAGAAATTGAAGAGGACAGCAAAAAATTGAAAGATATTCCATGTTCATGGATTGGAAAAATCAACTTTGTTAAAATGTCCATACTACCCAAAGCAATCTGCAGATTCAATGCAATCCCTATCAAACTATCAATGACATTCTTCACATAAATAGAAAAAAATCCTAAAATGTATATAGAACCACAAAAGACCCATAATAGCCAAAGCTCTCCTAAGCAAAAAGAATAAAACTGGAAGAATGGCATTACCTTATTTTAAATTATACTACGGAGCTACAGTAACCAAAACAGCACAGTACTGGCATAAAAACAGATACATGGATCAGCAGAACAGAATAGAGAACCCAGAGATAAACCCATACATCTACAGTGAACTCATTTTTGACAATGATGACAAGAATATACATTGGGAAAAGGACAGTTTCCTCAATAAATGATGCTGGGAAAACTGGATATCCACATGCAAAAGAATGACACTAGACCCCGAGCTCTTGCCATATACAAAAATCAAATCAAAATAGATTAAAGATGCAAACCTAAGACCTCAGACTATGAAATTATTAAAAGAAAACATTGGGGGAAACTCTCCAGGAAGCTGGACTGGGCAAAGATTTCTTGAGAAATACCCTACCAGTACAGGAAACCAAAGCAAAAATGGACAAATGGGTTCTCACCAAGTTAAAAAGGTTCTGCAGAGCAAAAGATACAATCAACAAAGTGAAGAGACAACTCATAGAATGGGAGAAAATATTTGCAAACTACCCATCTGACAAAGGATTATTAACCAGAATATATAAGGAGCTCAAACAACTTTGTATGAAAAAAATCTAATAATTCAATTTAAAAATGGGCAAAAGCAAAAGAACAAAGCTGGAGGCATCACGCTACCTGACTCCAAACTATACTACAAGGCTACAGTAACCAAAACAGCATGGTACTGGTACCAAAACAGAGAGCTAGATCAATGGAACAGAACAGAGCCCTCAGAAATAACGCCGCATATCTACAACTATCTGATCTTTGACGAACCTGAGAAAAACAAGCAATAGGGAAAGGATTCCCTATTTAATAAATGATGCTGGGAAAACTGGCTAGCCATATGTAGAAAGCTGAAACTGGATCCCTTCCTTACACCTTATACAAAAATTAATTCAAGATGGATTAAAGACTTTAACGTTAGACCTAAAACCATAAAAACCCTAGAAGAAAACCTAGGCATTACCATTCAGGACATAGGCATGGGCAAGGACTTTATGTCTAAAACACCAAAAGCAATGAAACAAAAGCCAAAATTGACAAATGGGATCTAATTAAACTAAAGAGCTTCTGCACAGCAAGAGAAACTACCATCAGAGTGAACAGGCAACCTACAAAATAGGAGAAAATTTTCGCAACCTACTCATCTGACAAAAGGCTAATATCCAGAATCTACAATGAACTCAAACAAATTTCCAAGAAAAAAACAAACAACCCCATCAAAAAGTGGGCGAAGGACATGAACAGATACTTCTCAAAAGAAGACATTTATGCAGCCAAAAACCCCATGAAAAAATGCTCACCATCACTGGCCATCAGAGAAATGCAAATCAAAACCACAGTGAGATACCATCTCACACCAGTTAGATACCATCTCACACCAGTTAGAATGGCTATCATTAAAAAGTCAGGAAACAACAGGTGCTGGAGAGGATGTGGAGAAATAGGAACACTTTTACACTGTTGGTGGGACTGTAAACTAGTTCAACCATTGTGGAAGTCAGTGTGGCGATTCCTCAGGGATCTAGAACTAGAAATACCATTTGACCCGGCCATCCCATTACTGGGTATATACCCAAAGGACTATAAATCATGCTGCTATAAAGACACATGCACACGTACGTTTATTGCGGCACTATTCACAATAGCAAAGACTTGGAACCAACCCAAATGTCCAACAATGATAGACTGGATTAAGAAAATGTGGCACATATACACCATCGAATACTATGCAGTCATAAAAAATGATGATTTCATCTCCTTTGTAGGGACATGGATGAAATTGGAAATCATCATTCTCAGTAAACTATCGCAAGGACAAAAAACCAAACACCACATGTTCTCACTCATAGGTGGGAATTGAACAATGAGAACACATGGACACAGGAAGGGGAACATCACACTCTGGGGACTGTTGTGGGGTGGGGGGAGGGGGAGGGATAGCATTAGGAGATATACCTAATGCTAAATGATGAGTTAATGGGTGCAGCACATCAGCATGGCACATGTATACATATGTAAGTAACCTGCACATTGTGCACATGTACCTTAAAACTTAAAGTATAATAATAATAAAATAAAATTAAATTAAATTTAAAAAATAGTTAATCTTGCTATTTGTCAAAGTAAAGATTTATTCTAAGAGAACTTTAAAATTTTAGGTTCAATTAAATAATTGGGACAAAAGGCTCAAGTATAAAGAAGGACAACAGGAGAGGGAGCTGTGTTATAATATTATCTAATGTATCTAAGTAGTATATTAAAGTATATACCTTTTTTCCTTCATTAAAAAAAAACAAAAAATAGGCAAAAGATCTGAATAGACAATTCTCAAAAGAAGACAAATGGCAAACAGGTGTATGAAAAGGTGCTCAACATCACTGATCATCAGGGAAATGGAAATAAAAATTATAATGAGATATCATCTCACTCCACTTAAAATGGCTTTTATCTAAAAGTCAGCCAATAACAAATGCTGACAAAAATGTGGAGAAAAGAGAACCATCATAAATTGTTGGTGGAAACATAAATTAGTATAACCACTAATTTACAGTGAAGAATTTTGGAGGTTCCTCAAAAAACTAAAACTTTAGCTATCATACAATCCAGCAATCTCACTCCTAGGTGTAGGGTCCAGCCCTGCGGGGCTTAGCAGGTGTTCTCCCCGTGTACGGAGACGAGAGATTGTAATAAATAAAGACACAAGACAAAGAGGTAAAGAGAAAGCAGCTGGGCCCAGGGGACCACTACCATCAAGATGCAGAGACCGGTAGTGGCCTCGAAAGTCTGGGCTGGATTATATTTATTGCATACAAGACAAGGGGGCAGGGTAAGGAGGGCGAATCTTCTAAGTGATTGACAAGGTGAAGGAAGTCATGTGATTACAGGATAGGAGACCCTTCCCTTTTAGGTAGCTGAAGCAGAGAGAGAAGGCAACATATGTCAGCGTTTTCTTCTCTGCACTTATAAGAAAGCTCAAAGGCTTTAAGACTTTCACTGTTTCTTCTACTGCTATCTACTACGAACTTCAAAGAGGAACCAGGAGTATGGGAGGAGCATGAAAGTGGACAAGGAGCATGACCATTGAAGCACAGCACCACAGGGAGCGGTTTAGGCCTCTGGATGACTGCGGGCAGGCCTGGATAATATCCAGCCTTCCACAAGAAGCTGGTGGAGCAGAGTGTTCCCTGACTCCTCCAAGGAAAGGAGACTCCCTTTCGCGGTCTGCTAAGTAACGGGTGCCTTCCCAGACACTGGCTTTACCGCTTGACCAAAGAGCCCTCAAGTGGCCCTTATGTGGGCATGACAGAAGGCTCACCTCTTGCCTTCTAGGTCACTTCTCACAATGTCCCTTCAGCACGTGACCCTATACCCGCCAGTTATTTCTAGGTTATATTAGTAATGCAACAAAGAGTAATATTAAAAGCTAATGATTAATAATGTTTATAATAATGATTGATAATTGTCCATGATCATCTCTATATCTAATTTGTATTATGACTATTCTTATTCTAACTATTTTCTTTATTATACTGGAACAGTTTGTGCCTTCAGTCTCTTGCCTCGGCACCTAGGTAATCCTCCGCCCACATCTAGGTATGTGCCCAAAAGAAAGAAAATCAGTATATTGAAGAGATATCTGCACTCTCATGCTTACTGCAGCACTATTCACAATAGCTAAGATTTGGAAGCAACTGAAGTGTCCGTCAACAGATGAATGGATAATGGAATGCAGTAAACATACACAATGGAGTACTATTCAGTCATAAAAAAGAATGAGACCTTGTTAGTTGCAATAACATGGATGGAACTGGAGGTTATTATGTTAAGTGAAATAGCCCAGGCACAGAAAGGCAAAGTTTGCATGTTATCATTTATTTGTGAAAGATACATATGAAAATATTTGAACTCAACGAGATAGAGAGTAGAAAGATGGATACCAGAGTTGGGAAGGGCAGTGGTTTTGGGGGAGTAGGGATGGTTAATGGGTACCAAAAAAGTAGATAGAAAGAACTAATACGACCTATTTCCTAGCACAACAGGGTGTTTATAGTAAAAAATGATTTAATTGTACATTTTTAAATAACTAGAAGATATAATTGCATTGTTCGTAACACAAAAAATAAATACATTTATCCTGATGTGATTATTACATGTTGCATGCCTTATCTCATGTAAGCCATAAATATATACACTTATTATGCACCCACAAAAATTAAAATAAATAAATAAAAATAAAATATAAAAAAGAAGATGAGAACTCTCCATTGGTAACATTCTTTTCTTCCAACAGAGATTGTTTTTTTCCCCTGACAGCTTAGAAACATAGAAAAGTGATGAGAGTAAAAAGCAGAGGGAAAATGACTCTCCTGATGTGGTGTATGGGGTTGATGTGTGCACTTGAAGCTACAATATTTTCTAATTATTTACAATATTTCTTTGAAGCTCAAGGCTGATATTCTGCTTTTGGTAGGCTGCTTCACCACCTTTGTGTATCTCCCTTTTCTCTTTCTTAACAATGTCAGATATTAATCTCATTTAGGATTTCCAAAGAGGAACAGGGTAAAACACAGATTTAATGAGAAATTTGAGAAATGGCTATTTGACTTCCTTTTCTTCCTCCTTTTCTCTGCTCCCCAAGGAGCTGGAAACTTTGCTGAAGCATGTGTGGAGATGGTAAGAATTCTGTAAACTCTGTTCCCTGGTCCCTGTGTACTTAGAAAATCCCATTCCTACCCAATTTGCATGCAGAAAAACATTAATGTTCCCATAATTAAAACTCCACTTGCAACCCTAGGTTGTGTTACACTATATCATCCATTTAGCTTTATTGTGATTGATCTGTGTCAACTTTAACTATCCTCACAAGGAAGTCAATAAATAAAGATCAATAGTTTTTTATTTCTTCACCTTTTTTATTAGAAAGTACAGATAAGTTAAATAACACCAGTAACAGCAGTAGCACAGAGCTTCCCTCAGTGCTTTACTTGGTAAAAACTATACTAAAACAAATCAGATTTAAATTCACAAATGGGCATTCTTTGTCATCTCTCATTAAGTAGCCTTCGCCACTTTTAAATGCAAACATGGAAACAAACAGGGTTTGCATATATTTGTCCTCTCTGAGATAATTTTTTACAGTATTTTTTTACAATGAACCTCTTCAACATCACGAGCTTTTGTAGCTCCGGTTTAATGTATTAACCACTTATTGAGACTGCGTAGCACTCTATGGATGCAGAAGGTTCATGTTCAGATGGACAAGTGATGAACTCATTGTTCAAATAAGAGAGGGGGCACCTCAACCATGCTTTGTGTGGATTCAAAGATGTGATGGCTGAGAATCTGGGGATAATCCAGTTGTGTGTAGACCCCACCAGGCCCAGAGCTATAACCAGATCATCGAGAGCTCTACCTTGTCAGGTATCAACATTTAGTTGTCAGATCTTGAGGAAGTCTGAGGTTAAGAAGATGGGAGGAGGCAGTGAGGAAAAAGTGGTTCTAAGAGTGGGGTTTCGGATTTCAGGGTAATGGCAAGAAGGCACTCCCATGGGGCATAAATGATCTAACATTCAATGGGGAAGGATTTCAATATCTTGTAAAACATAAATGACCACACAGGCATGGGACAGCTACTGAACGTCAGCCAGCCCTAGAGAGAACCAAGAGCAATATTCACAAAACAAAGGAACAGAAGTGTGACTATCACCAACTTGCCTCTCTTGAGAAAATAAGATTTCCACTATGTGATCTTTGTAATGAATAACGGGAGATTGAAACCTGTTAGCCAGTTTCTTACCCAATTTCACTTCACACAGTGTTTACACATAGAAAGTAATCATTTCACCTATTTATTACCCATGTGCTACCTCAGTCTGGCCTCAAAATGTATAAAATGAAATATGAAATAAATTGAGAAAAGTGTATCTTTGTATTTTAAGTTCCAGCTCTCTCTAAAATAAGCATTACGTGCAGCCACCTCCTTTTGTATACTGCCACCTGGATGGCCGATGGTACCGAAATGAATCCCGCCCAAATATATTAATTTCATCTCCAAACTGTGTTCTCCTCTTGTTCCTGATTTTGAAAGAAAGGAGTCCTCATTCTCCTAGTAACTTGCATGTGAAATATACTCAATTTCTTAATGCTGCTTTTGCCTTTTTCCCTGCATTTAATGAGCACAATGGAATATCTCATTAATCCCTCAATTCAATTTGATAAAAATTAAAGTGTCAATATGAAAAATACTAATGAGGAGACACATCCTCTGTCTTCAGAGATGTTACTGCTTATTATGGGCAATGAGCAAGTACATAAAGAACTGTATATGATAAAATATACAAAAATGCCACAAAACAGGCATGAATGACATATCGTGAATAAAAAGTGTGGAGAGGAACACAGTTGAGGGTTTCAAGAGCACTGAGAGAATACATGGAGTTTGAAGAGCAGGGAAAAATTTAACAGAAGGAGAGAGGTGGCAGAATGGGAGAAAAACCCAAGAGGATGTGGAAGAATAGCCCTGGGCAAAGGGGAAAGAATAAGAAGAGATGAAATTGGTTTTAGAAACAATGCAATTACTTTGGCTAAAATGAAGGGTTTCTGTAGAACAGAACAGTAATGAGGAGTAATACCCAAATGTTAAATTGAATTCATGTTACAGAGGGCCTAGAATCCCGGCAGAGGCAACCGTGTATAACTGTCTTCTCAGCCAAGAGAGTCCCTGAAAGTTCATGCCAGGACAGTGCATGGTGCTGCTATGGATGTGGGGAAAATTGTTCTCTTATACGCTACTGATAAAATATGGATTCCTAAGCATTTTGGAAGACAATTTGTCAATATTTATTAAAAATAAAGACTTCTATCTCAGGAATTGTTCTTCTGTGATTCTATCCTGTAGAAATATCAGTCCTCAAGGATATATTACAAACACATTTATTGGGAAACTTTTTAAATTGGTTTAAAAAAGTGGAGCTGGGCAAGGTGGCTCACGCTTGTAACCCCAGCACTTTGGGAAGCCAAGACGGGCAGATAACTTGAGGTCAGGAGTTCGAGACCAGCCTGGCCAACATGACGAAACACCATCTCTACTAAACAAAAATTAGCCGGGCATGGTGGTATATGCTTGTAGTCCCAGCTACTTCAGAGGTTGAGGCAGGAGAATTGCTTGAACCCAGGAGGCAGAGTTTACAGTGAGCTGAGATTGCTCCACTGCATTCCAGCCTGGGTGACAGAGCAAGACTGTCTCAAAAAAAAAAAAAAAAAAAATAGGGAACATAATCCGAATAATTATCAGTGGGGAAACAAGTGAATAAACTTGTTTATTTATATCATGATATAGTATTCAATTCATATTATCCAGGTCCTTTTGATCTGAAGGGTATCCATGATATATGTTTAAAAAGCACATTTCATATTCATACATACATAGATACATAAATATATATATATACACACACACATACATATATAAACTATCTATGTAAAACAAAAATAAAATCCCTATATGATTAAATAAAATGTGCATAAATCAATGTGTGAAAAGTGTGAAAGACCATGAAACTTAAACTTAAGGTAGAAGGTAGAACAAGAAAGGGATGTTTATCATTTCTGCAGGAAATTTTTCAGAAAAACTAAAATGGTTAGCTTATGAGAAAGTATTAACTAATATTAGTGTTAAATAATGTTCAGTATGTATTTTATTAAGAGAAGAAAAATCAAATTGCAAAACAGTATGTATGTATAGCATAAACTCAACTCATAGATGCTTCCATATTCATGAAAAACAGTCTGAATATACACTAACATATTAAAGACATGTGTGTGTCTGTCTGTATGTATGTATGTGCATTTCTTTCTTTTTTTTACTTGCATATTTTCCGGGTTTTCTTTTATTCATTAGACACATTTATTAGAGGACCTCCTGGATGCCAGACACTATTCTAAACTCTTCTTTCCTATTTCAAGCACTTTCCTAAACGGTAAGTGCTATGTTTTCTCATGTTCACTTTGACCATTGTGATAAATATGGTGTTTAAAATGTGATAGGAAATCAATAAATATCTACTGATTAATTGAATAAATGGATGAATATAAGCAACTTGTTCAAGGCCACTCACCTAGTATGTCACAAAGCTTGGATTAGATGCCTTTATGTCCCACTTAATAGAGACAATTTGACACATTCTAGTGGGCATACAGGAGAAAGTTAATAGAGGAACTTTTCTAATATTTTAAAGCGGAGGCCTTCCATAAGGATATATAACCCCCCAAATTCTGAGAGGATTACTGGCATGCCTTCTCCCTAGAAAGTGAGCACAGGTGCTGAGGAAATTAAAATCAAATATCTATAACTAAAATGTCAGAATAATCATTTACCACGGTATTATGTGTTTTGAGTAATGTGAATCTTTTTTTTTGTTGTTGACCCTCTCTCTTATCCTGAGTTTTTGGTTCCCATATATCAACGAAACATCTTCCTGAAAGAGCTTGGATCTATTTGCCGATGGGTTTATGATTCATGTTTATATAGGTTGTAAATCCTTTTCAGGAATTACAAAAATACCTTGCTTTGCTTTTCCTAAGCTGTTTGTTTTTGCTATTACTTTACATATTGTTCTGTGTGTCCAAGATACCAGAGACCTGTGTATTTGGCTCAGCAAATGTCCCCTCTACATTTTCTAAATTAATGTTGAATACCAGGGTTCACAAATTGTAACAAAACCAACATTTCATTCCATGTGGGTTCTCTAACCAACTCTGTGAGTCAAATGTTTAACCTAAAAAAATATCCAAAGCATTACCTGCATACAGTGAAGTATAACTTCTTGAAAGATGAGATTTCTGGGTACCTACATTTGGTAAAATATAAAATTGCCATAATTTGCTACCTATTTCAGAGGGTGGTTTAGTCAAATATATAATAGAGATGAAAGTATTTTGTAAAGTTTCAAGCACTGTGCATGTGTAAATAATAATATTAATTTGACTTGTATTATTTGCTTTGGTACATGTCTCCATAATTTACAGTGGTTAAATTAACATATATCATCAACTTTGGGATCTTAAAGTTTCATTCATTTCAATGGGATTTGACTGATAACATCCATATAATATGATTGTCCCAAGTCCTCCTCCCACTTTTTAGGGTCATATTCCTCTCTAAATGTCCTAATGAAATGACTCAGCCCAGTCCTACACATGGAAAAGTAGTTCGATCCTGAAAATATTTGGGAATGTCCAGGAAAAAAAGAGGAGTCTTACTTTCTTGGTCACTCCCATTGATTCCTTTACATATACAGTCATGCCTTCTCAGACTACTCCTCTTTCCTAGACCACTTTACCAATCCATGTGCATCCTCATCTCTGTGCTTTTCGTTCTCTCAGGCACTGTATCAGTACAAAGTTATTGTGTGTGCCTAACTTTAATTTATAGTTTGGGTAAAACAGAAGAGGCCATGGCATAGCACAAAATAAGAACAACCTAAAATAGAAAACCAAATATCATTAATCTTTAAGTCCTTTGGCCATCCCTGTCCCAGGAAATTTCTTACTGGTCATTTTGTTCCCTAGACACTGAAGCAAAAGGCTCTTGTCCCTCTCCTTTATTGACTGCCACTGTAAAACACAAATTATATATATTTTTTAAATTACTTGGTGAATACATTTTACAAAACTATGTGATTGCTTTCTCTTAATTATTTTCATTAAGTTCAGAAGAGTTTTTCCTTCTCAGGAAATAGAACTCCTCAGAGTAATTTCCTAAACAAATGTGTCACCTACCTCTAAATCTTATCAACTTTAGCATTACAAAGATTTTTACATTTTTATTTATTTATTTTTGGTAAACTTCTCAAAGTTCAAATTCTTCAGCAGGGTGGTAGTGGCTGTGATGCTGATGAGCAGTTCTCATTAGATGTATCTTTTCTTTCCTCAAAAAGGAATCTGGAAAACTTTCAAAGCTATAAGAAGTCTTGTCCTTTATATAAAAAATTCTGCAAAGAGGTAAGACGTGGAAGAGGCGTGAGACTGGGGTGTGGATACCTAATACTTTCCAAAGTCTCTGAAATTACATCAAGGAATCACAATACCTAAGGCTGCTCTTGGAATCAATCTCTTCAAAGCAATGTCAGCTTACCAAGATTCCCTGGGTAATGGTCTTCTAAAATATGCAAATTCCATAGATGAAATATCTAGTTATGGGCACTATTTATAATTATGTGATGAATCTACCAGCCCAGCACAAGTGACTGTGCTTGGAAAGTAGCAAAGAGTGTCATTTTCATTTCCATGGATTTACTTAAATAGTGGTAGTTATAATTTTTGAGTGCATACCATGTATTAGACTCGTAATAGAGTTTACACATAATTTCTTTGATCCCCAAAACTGGACAAGGTGCATATTGCATGTTATTCCTCCTTTTTTCAGACACCTGACTTTTCCCAGAGATACCTAGCTGAAATGTAGTGTGGCTCCAAAGCCCATATTCTCCCCAGCACATCATGCTGCTGCCTTTGTGTTTCTCAGCCTGGAATAGACTGATCACCCATGCCTGTGTTCCCTCCAATTCTAGGTCCTATTGCCAAGAGAAGCTCTAAGGGGCAGGGCCCAAGAAGGCATGACTGTCCTCTCTGACATCTACCTTAAAGGTTGACTGCATCCCACTTCTCTCTAGAACCATTTATGAATCTGTCATTCATAAATTTGTCCAAACCCTTTTAAAATCCATTTATATTTCCTGCCAGTATCACCTTTTAGGATAATGAGGTCCCTCATTTTATTACCCACTGTGTGAATTAGTGTTATCTTTCATTTGTCCTTAGCTGACCTCCATCAAGTTGCAGAGGGCACCGCCTCCTCATTTGCCCCAGGCTAATGGACCCTTAACTATCCTTAGATCGTCCATCTAAGATGACAGAACATTTAGAACAAGAACATGATCATCTCCACGAATCACAGCATTCCTTGGCAACCACATGGTAAGTGTTGGGTGGTATTGGGACTGACAAAATGCTTCCTTCCACCTGAAATAAGGTATGCAGTGTCTTGAGAGGCTGCTGACCAAACAGCAAGGCCCTCAAAGGCCCTGCACCAACTCATCTCCAACAACATCAATTAGCTTGAGGGGCTCTCCATATGAATTTCAATGAGCCCTTACATTGTTGGCATCAGATAAAGTAAGGCCCTGATAAAGGAGGGAGATTCAGTCAACTGTTTAGAGTAAATTAGGATCACAGCTGTGAAGGCATTAGGTTATACAGAAACACAAAAAGACTGGATTCTGACCGAGGAGTAAGTGATAGCCCATCCTTGGAAATAGGATGCACAGCAGTCATAGGACAAGGAGAAAACCTTGTTACTGGAAGTGGAGTACAAACTCGAGCAAAGCTGATTTCCAGGCAAGTAACTTTTCTTAGCCTCATGAGAAAATCAGTATGGATTTGGACCTGAAAAAAATACTATCTGACTGCAGTAAATAAAAGCCATAATCTCCTCATTTCATATGTACCTCATTTTACATGTGTTGTAACACATTGAAGTGGAAACAAAACAGTTTAATTTCTTTTCTATAGCTGACCCCTAATTCTACCATGTCCAACTGTCTTCTTCCCCTGGTAAATCATTCTCTTAACATCTTGGTCTGATTTCCTAAGTCTGCAGTTCCTTTTGGTAGTTAGAATTGCCTCATTTAAGACCCACTCCTATTTATTTTAAAACTTCAATTTCAGCTTTGATTCTAAGTTCTTCTCTCCCAAGACCAGGCTGGAGTTATCTGTGGCCTCTAACAGCTTCCAGTGAGGATGAGGAGGTTGAGGCAGGAACATCTCATTACATCACTTCTCTTCCACCATGGTGGCTGCATATGTCCATGCTGGCTGAGCACTGCATGATTCCAGTGACACTGTTCATGCAGACTACAAAGCAGACAGTACCCCGTCCACCAAACAAAGGTGTTTCAATAAAAGCCCTGTGACTTTAGTGAAATTCCTGAAAATTAAGCAGTGTACAACCTGTACACCTGATCACAGTCAAATTGCTAGGGCCTCCTTTTTGTTGGAACCGGGAGGAGAGAGAAACGAATGGGCAATATCTTTTTAATTAACAGAGGGGCTGCAGTTTTTTCCTCTGCTTCTTGTTTTCCTTCTCTGTCTTCTGAGTGAGAGGTGACCACATGTGCTTGCTGGTTCCCTCTCATAGGGTGCTCATATGAGCCCTGTGAGGGCTGGAGTTAAGGACACATACTGTGTGGTTCAGAACCATGTCAATATAATGCTATTCCTATTATTTGCATCTCTGTAGCACATCCCCCATCACCGCCAAAGGGAAAAAAAGTTTTTGAGTATAGGTATTCATATTCTCAACAGATTAAAAAACATAACTTTCAATTTTTCTTGAAAATTGTCAGAGATCCATCTTCCTACTTTTATTCAATATTAGACATTGTGCAGTTTATCAATGTAAAATGGAAAAAAGTGAAGATTAAGTTGTATGCACTTAAGTAGGTCGGTATAAATGTATATTTTGCAAGCGTCTGATCAAGATGCTTGGCTTCCTTTGCTTGCTGTCTGTAATGACATATGTAGAGCTATGCTCAAGGTTATAAATCTTTTTCACATGGACTTACTAGAAATGACTAAAAACTAACTTAACCTGTATTAGATATAGTTACGGATCTGCAGACATGTTTAAACTCTCTTTAAGCAACAAATTGAAGCCATCACTCTAGCTAGAAGTTGAATCTGTTCATTGTTCTTAGTGATTAAAATTTAGAAAATTCTGCCTAAAATAAATCATTCATGTAAATTAACCCTCAAGAGGCACTCTCTTAGAGTCTGGGCACTATTTATATATAGAACAGTCCTCCACAGCCACCGGTGACATCAAGAAGCATTTGGGATGAACAAGTGCTGAGTCACTTTAAAACTAACCAAGTACTACAGGCAGTTATCACCCCAATACATTATTTATCACTGTGGCCTCCTGATGCCTGTGCTTACTGAGGAACCCTCCTGTGATATTGAAGGCCAAAGCATCTCTTCTCCCTAACAACAGTGTTGTATCTTTGGCAACTCGAGCAGGAACTCAGAAAATCAATACCACTTCATGAGCCAGGTCTTGGTCTTCTCCTTTTACGAGGATTCTGTCAATGCAAGGGGCCATTACTGTACTTTAAAGGCATGATATAAAATTGCTTCAACAAGATATAAGACACACCGTTTGCAAGAACCTGGTGAGAGTATTTTAGTCAAAGTTAAATAGTTTCATCATGTAATTACTTCTATTGGCAAAGCTCCAGCTGAATGCGCTCTCGGAGGGGTGTGCTTTCTATTATGGGTGGGGGAATTGTGAGGGAGGCCTGGCGATTAGATTCAGGTTGTTCTAAACAAGGTCAAACTGTTAAAATGGAGGCAGAGGCAGAGCCAAGCATCTGATGCCATTGGCAGGGATGCCACAACAACAGGGTTGACAAGTTGCTCTCCCTCCTGTTTTTTTCTCCTCCAACTAAGTGGTCTGAAAGTAGCTTTAGTTTTACAGCTATAAAATATTTCATCCTGATTTGCAGTCCAGTAATTCATTTTCTAAGGACTGTTTAGAATTTATTCAGGGGGAAAAGGAAACTCTGTTGGTTTCTCTAAGTGATGCTCATTATATGACAAAATTTAACTTTTGGATTTTATGAGGTTTTATGTGTTCTACTAAAACCATTAGCTGGTTGTCTCTTCGTGATAAAATTTAATCACTTATATAATACCTTAAAAGCCAATGACAGTTTTGCATGTATTTATGTTTTCTTTAATTTAAAATATGTGGGTGTTACAAAGATAGCTCTTATTGGGGAGAAAATAAGGGGTTCACACTAAAAACAGAAAATCTCTAAGTACTGAGCCTTTATGTATCACACAATAAGAATGAGGCACCACGGCCTACAAAGTGCATGAAATTGGAGAAAAAGTGGATGCTAATCCATGAGCACCATTCATATTTCTATGATTACCTGAGTGTACCCAAGCTCCACATTTAGCACTATTCTCACAAAAGCTACCCGACTGCTATGAGATTTTAGCAATTTAACAAAAATTTTAACAATAACAATAAGAAATAGACTCAAAGGAAATGCACATACAGTTTGCAAAAATGTCTCATAGAAACTAATCACATTAGCCTGCCCTTTGTAATCAGAGACGCTCTCACAATTATTCTTCCAAGTAACACTTCTTAAATTTTGGTGGTTAATAAGGACTAGAAGAAAGGTGATTTTATCTCCCCCTCATCCCACTTCCACCCACAGAGTTCCAATTATGGCACTGCTTAATCAACACACATATTTATTTTAGAGTTATTTAAATGCATTATGAATTTATATGTCTATTTTTAGATTTATTGGTGCTAATGATTTGGATTTAAATAGAACTTTTCTTCCTGAGGCTATAACAAATTTCATGAATGACCCAATTCATTTGATTTGAGTACCTCAAATGGAAGGAAGGAAAGGGGCAAAGGTCATTGAACCCATTTGGCTCAGAAGGACAATCTTACCCCACAGATCAAAGAGAATTAACTAAGGTTCCATGTATCTTGATAGTAATAGATCAATTAATTTTCTAAATTTTTAACTCTCAGGAGTTAGGTACCATGTATATACTGTTCATCATGATATTTCTAGCAATTCTAATAATACCAAACACAATAAATATTCATTAAATAAATGAATAGATTTATTATCAATCAATCAATCACAGAGAATTTCTGAGAGAAATCTGAAAACTCTCAAAGCCGATGAGGGCAAAAGCTGTGCCGTTTGGCAAACTAGCCCCTTCAACTGCAAAGGTACATATATTTATCTTTCAAAAGAGGCAAAAGGTGTCATTGGGCTTATACACAAGTGTGGATGTCACCCCAAGTAACAGTTTCAAGGGAAAAGGAATCTTCACGAGCCCTACTCCAGAATGGTCCCTATCTTTACAGGAATGCATAAATTTCCCTATACAAAGATAAAAGCTTTCCCTTCTATAATGAAACATAGGCCTGGGGTACAAATGTTTCTAGGAAAGTAGATTAAGATAGGCTGTGCTGTGGGAAGAGGTAGATTTACTACAAATCTAAAAAAGCTTAGCTCCAGGGCCCCTCACCATCCAGACCCCTTCCAAGGTCCTAAGAAGGCCCTAGCAATGAGTTTTCATGTTCATATACTTTTGTAAATTTTGCAAAAGTAAGTTAGTTTTGTGTCTGTTTCTATAAAAGCACCCACCCTTCAAATTGTATAATCTTCAGGCCCCAAACATCCTCAATGTCTCCCTGAGTGTGGTGACAAATATATTCTAAAATCTCAGTGGCATAATGCAACAAAGGTTAATTTCAGGTTCTTCTTTCCTGACACAGGTCAGCAGGTAGCTCTGCTCCACATGGTCATTCTGGAATCCAGCTGATGAAGGTTCTGTCATATTTTGATACTGAGTCTACTAGTATTGCATCAGCAGGAGGGAAAAAAATAGAAAACTCATACCCAGTCTAAAGTATTTTAATCAGAAATTACAGTTAATCATTTATGTTCATAATCCATTGGCCAGAACTAGTTGTGTGGATCAAACTAAGTGCAAGGGAAGCTGGGAAGACTTACTGTGTGCCAGAAAGGAGAGAAGTATTGAATGTGATGAATACTATTAATCTCTATCCTAAAAAAGTAATTCTCTGGTTTTGTTTCACACCAAAACATACCTAAAGTGAATAGGTTTGTTACTGATAAGGAGTAAGTGCCTCAAGATATTCAGTTCCTAAAGTGAGAAAAAGGCAGAACTCATGTTAAGGATACCAATCTCAGAATAAAATAGATTTCATGTACTCTAAAACTCATCTGGAGAGACTAAGGTATAAGACGAAAGAGTGAGAGACCAATCCTTTGTGTTACTTGGCCTAGGCCACTTCTCAGAAAAATGGCAAGGATTTCGATGTTCTAGTCTCAGATAAAACACCTAATTTCTTGTGATGAAGTAGCTTAACATTCCTCAATGATTCCCTCTTCTCCACTGAACAACAGCCAAACTCATTAGCAGTCAAGGTCCTCCAAAACCCAAATTCTCTTGAGTTTTCCTATCTCTTATTCCTCCCCCTCCACTTCCAAAAACTACAGCCGCACTGAACAACTTATTATTCCGAGTTGACACACTGTACTCCATGAGCCTTTTGACTGCACACTCTACCTTCTACATTAAAATCACTCTCTTCTTTCTTTTACTCATCTGAAGAACTCAGCCTTCAAGCCAAAGTTTAAATATCATTTCCCTCAAGAAGCAAGCCTGTCTTAGAGGTCCTAGCTAAATATATATATTTATAAAGGAAGACCTGCCATTTGCTCCATTTTCTTTTGTTTTGTGTCATTTATATCATTTTGTTTAAAGATACATTTTCTTCCTTGTTAGCTGTCAGCCTCATCCTTGGGCAAGACCAGAGCTTGGTCTTAAGCACTTAGCTCAGCCCCTGGCAGACGGTCAAAATTTAATAAATGTTTATTGTATGAATCAATGAATGAATGAATGGAGAAAAAGAACAGTGATTAAATGTAATCTCAGGATTTCAAATGAAGCGAAGATACAAGTGACACCAATGTTATAAAGGGTGCAAGAATGACTTCTTTTTTGTTAGTACAGATACTGCATATTCAGGGATATATGCCTATCTGCTCATTCAAAGCCAAGCACTGTAATTTTTGATGTGCTATTTAGTGTAGGTGTTTCCATAATTGGGATGGAATGAGAGGATTCCATGCTCACTGGCCTTAAAAGTTTCCCTTCCACCTGGGTGATGCCATGGTTCAGGCTTTAGAAGATGTATGAATTACCTCTCCTCAGAGGGACCATGCAAAAAGGGGAAATACTTTCTAACACTGCATGGTTATTGACCTTCCATTGCAGCAAATCTACAAATGTCAAAGCAATGAGTGTCTCTAAAGAGAAATCTATTGTTTAAAAACAGATGTTTAAAATATAGGGCCTTGAGAGCTGATCTCTCTCTAGACACACTTGCTAACAGTTCTAAGAAGCGCAGAATACAAACATGCATAATCACCAACTTTCCTCTTTAATTCTAAAGAAAGGACGTTGAAGCTTTACTTTTGTTTATCCAACTTCAAACTGAAGAGTGAATTCCTAAGGTCAAGATGATTCTCAGAACAAGAGAAGGTTAAATGGCACCATGACACTTTTAAAAGGTGTGTATAATAATGCCATAGTTTGTGCAGTGCCTCTGATTCTGCAAAGCTCCTTTTCATCATTCTCACTGGATCCATAACTCATCTTGAGAGTTTCCAAGAACAGACTGGATTAGACCCATTTGACAGGTGTGAAAACCCATCATCAGCAAAGTTGTGACTTCCCAAAATATTGATAAAAATTGAGTTTTCCCAAAGGTAGAGGAGCAGAAGAAAAGGGTGTTACTTCTATTTTAGGAAAATCATATTGGCATAACTATTACCACTACTACTCTTGGTGCATGAATGATGTGAGGGAGGCTCTGCACATCTGAGAGTGTATCTCATTGAATTATTTATTCGCTTAGCCTACATTTGAATATTATCCACATTTTAGTATTGTGCTAGGGTTGGAACATACAGAGAAAGGTAATATAGCAGCTGTAAGCAAACTTAATGTAAGAGTCTGGTGATTATAAAACAAAGGGAAAGTTCAATTATGCTGAAATGACAGGGAATCATGAGAACCCAAAGAAGGGTTAAGTGGGCATTCCTGAGGGAAGCAGGGAAAGCTTCCTTGAGGATGTGCCACCTGAACATACGATGCAGAGGAAATTAACCATGTGACTTGGAGAAAGACATACTTTCTAGGCAAGAGAGACCCATTAAAAAAGACATAGCACAAGAAATAAAATATCTGTGCAACTCAAATATTTGGGTGATGCCTAGAAAGGCGGGAAATGTAGAGAGATGTTGGATATCAAAAAATTCTGGAGTCCAGGTGTCCATCTCAGGAAATGGAAGTTTCCTCACAGGCCGGTGGGAGGACTAGTAACTGGTTTGAGTGAGGACAAACATCTAGACATCTGTGAGATTAACTTTTCTCCTTCACCCAGGAACAGTGTCAAAAATGGATTTTATCCATTGGAGCTAAGGTCTCAGGCCAAGCACAGGAGGCCACAATGAGAAATAGCTGCCACAAAACAAGAAAAGTTCTCTTTTCTTGTCTGAGTGCACTTTGGCAGAGGGAGATGTTCATGTCAGGGACCTGTCTCACACGGAGACAGAGAAGCGAGGATTTCCCGGCTCCCAGGAGCTCTCTGCTCCTATGGCAAAATGAACTCTCCTTTTGCTTGTGATATGGCAAATGTATTTCCCTAGGGAGAAGTCTTTTTTTTTTTTTAACCCTGTAATGAGAGAGAAACATTCAGGTGCAAATACCCTCTAAGGAGGAAACAGGTGAATAAAGAGTAAGTGACTAATAACAGAGCCATTTCCAAGAGTGACTGCAGAAGCAGAAGGGCAGGACAGGTGCGGGAGAGTTGAGGGCACTTCTATTGCTCAGGGTTGACCACATCCACACCTCAGCCACACTGGGTCACAGGATTAGAGGTAACACCTTAGGGTAGGATTTGGCCAACTTTTTCTATAAAAGTCATGTAATAAATCTTTTAAGCTTTGCAGACCATCAGGTCTCTGTTATAACTACTGAATTTCTACTATTGTAGTTCAAAAGCAGCAGTAGACAATATGTAAATAATTGAGCATGACTGTGTTTCAATGAATTTCTCTCCTACAAAAATAAGTGGGTAGCCAGATTTGACCCAGGAGCTGTAGTTTGCTGACCTCTGCCTTAGAGTAATGGTTCTCAAAGCATGGTCTCTGAACCAGCAGCACCTGCAATGCCAGGGAACTAATTTGAAATGTAAATTCCCAGCCCCATCCCAGACCTTCTAAATCAGAAACTCAGGGTCTAGGGTCAAGCAGTCTGTGTAACTCTGAATCAGCCTCACTCCAACTGATAGCTCTTGCAGTACTTTGTTAAACACAAGGTTACAAACCACATGGTGGGCATTTACGATCAAAAGAAAATTTCTACTGATAAAGAACGTTCTTTTGTCTAAATAGAAGTTAAGGTGAAAGAGTGTGTATTATAAAACTCCAAAGATCATCTGCAAGTTTCCTCATTTGCTTGACAGGCAATTTTTATGACTCATCAGCTGAAACCAATATGGCAGTAATATACCCTGCCTGGGTTTGAATTGATCATAGAAAGAATTCTAGAAAATGCTAAGAGCAGTTACTGGCTAAGAAGAAATTTGTAGATGACAGCTTTGGTTTCCTTAATGGAAAACCAACATGGCTTTCTTCAGCAAATGGTGAACTAAGGATTAAAAGGCATTAAGCTGCCTCCTTTGCAATGTCAAATATGCATTTACATTCAAGATAGCATTTAAAATATTAAAACATCTAGCGATTTTATTACTAGCTCATTTAAAATGGTGGCCATGAAAAATTTAGTTTAAGCTACCAAATAATGGCTCAGGAGACACTTAAAAATACACACACAGATAACTGAATTTTTTAAGTAAGTTCGTTATTAACTTCTTTCCCCTCATCTATTACCATTGCTATTTTCCAGCTGTATAAACAGTCTGGAGAGTATGCACTGAATGAATTCATCATTCAGAAAACAACATAATTACAGCCATTGCAGCAAACCAAGTGCCAAAAAAGTTACAAATTAATTGAAGGTTAGCATTGAAAATTAAATCCTAGTCAGCTTGAAGTCATCTTTTAGGCTACTCTCTGTAAAATTAAAGAGAACTCACTCTACATCAGTTTGGTTGACAATCAGTTATAAAGTTCAGGTGGACAAATGGCCTTCTCTACAACCAGCCACTTTCCTGTGATCTGATATTGCTAATTCCAAGTGACGCCTGCCAATAGTACCTTAGAACAAGCTTGTGATTTATGCAAGATGCAAGACCACTTCCTCCTGTCCCATGAATATCTAGGCCTTAGAAAAAATGCTAACTAATCTTGTTCTAATCTCCTCTGAGGCTGCTAAGTGATATCATTGAAAAACATTTTTCTTTTATTTTTTCAGTTTTCTAATACATTTACAAAAATAGTACAAAGAATCCCTGTATACAAGATTCCTCAAATATTCCTATATTTACAATAGTAACTAGTGTTAATAACCACAGTTCAATTATCAAAATCAGAAAATTAACATTAAAATTCATAATTAATCTCTAGTCAAATCTTATTCAAATTTCAACCATTGTCCCTTGAAGGCCCTTTTGTTGGTTCAGGATCCAGGATCACTTCTGGTATTTATTTGTCATATTTCCTTAATGTCCTTTAATCGAATCATCAGTAAGCTTTTAAGTCCAACAAGCATTCATTGAGCACCTGCACTGTGCCAAAAGTGAGGTAAGTGCTGAGGATTCAAAGATGGTTCCAGCCTTTGAAACACTCATATTTTATTGTGAAATCAAAATAAAACTAAAGGCTAGACATCGAAGCATGTACTGAAATACTGCTTCTTTTAGAAAAAGAAACAAAACATTATTTAGATTTGGAAAAAACAAACATATATTAATGAAGATGATCTTGACCCAAAAGGTACTTGGTCTTTGCTTCCAAAAAAATGATCATTCATGATTGAAAGCAATATTCAGAGAAATTGCATGCAACTGTGAGTGATAGGATTGTCTTTGTGGTCAGTATTTTTATTCCAGCACCTAAACAAGGGACAGCAAACATCAAAGGCTCAGTGAAAGTCAAATATAGTAGGGATTTGAGTTCATCTCTGAAGCCTGCTAGAAGATTTGGGACATGTAGGCTACCTCCAGGTGTCAACCCAAAGGCCCCTATTAAGCGTGAATAAACTAATTCAAACTCCAAATTAAAGAAAAGTTCAGAGGCTAATTACCATCTGAGGGCCTTTTTCTTTGTGCACTACTTTGAAACAGGATGTGTAGAAACATACTGTGAAACATGTGGCAGAGAACCAGAGATTTTGGCTTGAGGGTTTTTTTTTTCTTTGCATGCCAATGATTCTCCATTTACTTCATTTCTTTAATATCAACTTTCATATCCATTGGTCATTCAAATTAAGATTTTGTTAGATTTCTGGCATCTTGGATTTGGAAGACCATCAGAGGTTGCTAGTCCAACACATCAGCTGACTCTTAAGTCCTTTATAACATTTCTAACAAGATGTGTATCAACTCTCCACTCTTCTAGTTCATCTGTCTTTAGGAGTACCTTCCTGATACTGCGACGAAACCCCAACACCCCACCTAACCCACTCCTCTCACCCTACATTTTACAAATACTGTCCCAAGTTCTCCTCTATAGTCACCCACAATAATTCTGGGTATATATCAGCTCATCAATGTCTTTTTAAAATATGGCCTCTAAAATGAACCACCATGGTCCAAGTCTAGCCTGACTAGCACAGGGTAAAGGGAATCTGTCATCTCATCAGTACTAACGTTATATAAATGTCCATGAAACACACAGCTTTTCTAGTAGTTACATCACAGTGTTGACATATGCTGGGTTTTCAGAATCAATTAAACATTGAGTCTCTCATGTGGTCTGGCTGTGTCCCCACCCAAATCTCATCTTAAATTTGTAGCTGCCATAGTCCCCATCTATCATGGGAGGGGGCCAGTGGGAGGTAACTGGATCATGAAGGTGGGCTTTTCCTGTGCTGTTCTCGTGATAGTGAATAAGTTCTCATGAGAGCCAATGGTTTTATAAAGGGCAGTTCCCTTGCACATGCTGTCTTGCCTGCCACCTTGCAAGACGTGCCTTTGCTCCTCCTTTGCCTGCCACCATGTGAGGCCTCCCCAGCCATGTGGAACTGTGAATCCATTAAACTTCTTTTTCTTTACAAATTACCCAGTCTCGGGTATGTCTTTATTAGCAGTGTGAGAATGGACTAGTATAGTCTCCATAAAATGTGTTACTACTGTTCAGCTTCATATTCCCTATTACATATTAAAACAGAGGGATCTGGGGATCCTATGTGTATAACTTTATTTTTATCTCTTCTAGTTCCCACTTCATTATGCTTGACCCATTATTTCATCCTTTAGAGAGCTTTTTGATCATGAAGCAAATACTTGAGTTCCATGACTTTTTTCCTGTCATCTAGTAATCAGAAGAGAGTAACCCATTTATGTCATCACCAAAGTCACTGTGAAAAATACGCAAAGAAATAAGACCATTGACAGGAGCACAAGCGCAGTTTGTTCCCTAAAGATAAACTTCGCTTCATTAAGTAGCACTTATTGGCATGTGATTAAATAGTTACAAATGTACATACCTATTATCCTATCGACATTTTACCATTTTTGTCTATAAAGATAACCAGAGATTTTACCAAATGTGTTGTTGAAATCCAGGTTCACTAGGTCTAAAGCCTTTCCCAGTTCTATCACAAAATGAAGGTGGCCTCATCTGACAAGACT
This sequence comes from Homo sapiens, assembly GCF_000001405.40. Classification (NCBI taxonomy): domain Eukaryota; kingdom Metazoa; phylum Chordata; class Mammalia; order Primates; family Hominidae; genus Homo; species Homo sapiens. The sequence goes on along the minus strand of NC_000002.12, from coordinate 58,803,604 downwards.
TGGTAGCAAGACATGAAATGTAGGGTAAGACTCAAATGTTTTATATGCTCTACTCGTAGCTGAGTGAGAATTTCAGCAGATAGTCTGGTAGCTGACTTCCACTATCACCAAGGCAACTTGTTTCTTATCCATTTATGTTACCTATACTTGAAATGCAGCATCCATGTTCTCTCTCTAATGCTAGTTTTATTTCTCACTTTTACTTTCAATAGAACATTGCATCATCAGTTTCACTGATTTCCCGTAACATTCTCTTGGCCTTGTGCCTCCCATTCTCATGCAGGTGTCTCTTCAAACAGAGGTATAACTTTCCTCACCAGGAGTGTCTATCATGATTTTCACTTCACTAAATCTCAGGAGTTCTTATGAAGTTGTGTATATCTCCTTGAGTTAAAATCTCAAAATTTTTTTCACACTCTCTACATCATCAATAATTCACTGGCATTTACATGATGAAACATGCACTATTTCTCATTTCCTGCTCAAGTATTTTCTTCTTCAAAATATTAAATACCTATTGTATAGTTTTCTCTATCTTGAAAGTTCTGCCTACTTGTATGATTTTTAAAATTTTTCTAGTGAAACCAAAGCTATAGAATACTGACCAATCACAGTGCAGATGCATACTCTTCAGAAACAAAGTGTAACCATTTTATTTAAGCCACCCAAACAGTAAGAGTAAGAAGTGCTTTTGCTAATTAGCATCTTGGGGATGAAATGAACCAAGGATCTTAGGTTAATTCTAATGAGTTATGAGCTAATATTGGTAAGATGCTTTTAGATTTTTAATTTAAAAGCACTTTGGCAATGCAAAGTATGAGGATTACAAATTTCCTGAGCCATCTGGTCCCCTACATAAGGTACTAATTTCAAAAAAGTTTAGATGAATAGATGGATAGATTGATAAATAGAGAATTTATTCCTCTGTCTACTGTTTTTTTTTTTTAAATGTTCCCTTTACACAGAGGGCCATTTAAATATATTTTATTCCACTCAAATCTCAAACTGTGGTGAGTGAAAAATACTTTGGAGCAAATAACTAAAGCACAAACAGATAGCATGTACAAATATAGAATCTACACTGTTAAAAATATTCATAATGAGAGCTGAACTGGTCCTTTCATTACTGGCAGGCTACCTCCTAAAAGAATCCAAGAGCAGGATTAGTCATAACAATGACTTCTATTTATTTAATACTTATTACAGACAAGTCCTTTACATTCATTAACTTATTTCATTTTCAGAGTAATCGGATAAAGCTGGTACTAATATAAACTCCATTTTAAATAAGTGGAAACTGAGGGTTACCAATGTTAAACCTTTCCTGATTTCTCAAATGATATGACCACCACCCAAGATTAGAACCCAGCGGCTTATTTCTCTGCTCTCCACCCCTGTGCCTTGTAGGCAAGTTGGTGGGAAATGTAAAACTTGGACAATGCCTTGGACATAAGAGTTATGCATATATATGAATTGCTTTTCTTGACATCGTCCCATTGAACCCTCCCAAATTTCCTATGAGGGTCATGATATTATTACCCTCACTTGGCAGACAAGGGAAAGAATAGTCAGTAAGAGATGGGTACCTATGTGCTGAGATTGAGGAAAATAATTTTTGTCAGTGTAGTGTCGTCACTTCATCATCTAATATTTTTGCTTGTTTGCTGTATTCAATTGAAAAAAACATCCTAGTCCTGGCTGGCTGTGAGAGAAATGATAAAACATTGATCACATAAATATCCAATTCTTCTACTTTCTGAGCCCTTCTTTGTAAAGAAAACAACATTAGGGTCTTTGGTTCTCCAACTGCCCACAAGTGAATCATTTTTAAAATAATAAGAAGAAATTAGCCCAATATTTTATAGCAGTCCAAAAGTCCATGAAAATCAGTGAAAAAAAAATGTATCCCTAAGAGTGTTTGTGAGGGGGAAAAGAAGACACTGCATACTCTCCCCTTCTTTAAGGAAATTCTCTGATCGGACATAATGAATTCATCATTTTCTCTGAAAGAATGTTTTCTGACCTCCTTTGTCATCTTTACAGACCCTACTAGCTAAGAAATTCTCTGAGAGGTATCATTCTCCCTAACCAGCACCCCTTCCCTTGTTTAGGGAAGTGACAGTAATTCGGCTCCCTAAGTGATTCCCATCCCTGCTGACTGACCTCAGTGGTGAGGCAGAGCAACATTGTCTCTCATCTCAGATGTTTCCTTTAATTTAGCTTCGGCTGTCTCCTTGGCCTTTGGTAGTTTGAGCTTAGAGCCCCAGAGACTCGGGGATAGGAGCCTGAGCAGGTGAAAAACATACTCCACAAAGGGCTGGTCCTTTCTGAATTATCACTCATTCTACCCCAGCGTGGTCCCTGCTTTTTTTCTAAAACATGAAGGATGCATAAAGGACACATAAAACTTTAGTCAATAGGTCCATTATTATGACTGGCTGAAAACCATAAAATGCATCCATCAAGCCATTGTGTTGCACCTTGTGTTAAATTATGGTGATAAATAGTCCTTTATCTGTGACGTCACTTACTAATCTATTCCAAAAACTATTCACCACTGCCATTGTGCATCACTCATGCTCCTGCCAGCGTGCTGAAAAAAATCCCCTACATGATAAAGGCACACAAGATTGTGCTTGACTCTGCAGACACAAATATTGTCTGTTATTTTCATGTCATACTGTGAAACGATTGCTTCTTCAGTTCCCAAAGTTATCTCAAGTGTGCAGTAATGTCCTCAGTGCTCAGCTCTGGGCATTGTAACTCATGTACTTTTAATTGTTTATAATTTACATCAAAACTGGACGGAGTCCATTTTCATTCATGCTGCTTTATAAGTACTGGATGACATATTTTTGCCACCTTGCTTTGGGTCGAATTTAATCCTATTCACAAGCCTTTAACATAGAAATTTGGTATGGAACGCCTTAATATTCTCAAGAGCTATGTAAAAGGATGTGTAGCAGTTGCTATCACTGTGTCTGGAATTTGGATCTGACTTTACACAAAATGTTCTCGTAAAATTAGGGGTTTTTAGCTCTTAGAAAAACACTATTTATTAAAATAAAATCAAGAGGAAAATGTAAAGATATTTTAAATTCCAGTCTCCAGTGGAATAACCTGTTTAAAAATGCAAACACAAAAGATACGCTTGTGGAGCTTTCTCTAGCTCAGTGGTTCCCAACCTTTTTGGCACTAGGGACCAGTTTCATGGATGACAGTTTTTTTATGAAGGGGGTGGTGGTGTGGGGTTCATCAGGAATTAGATTCTCACAAGGAGCACACAACCTAGATCCCTTGCATGCGCAGTTCACAATAGGGTTCACAGTCTCATGAGAATCTAATGCCAGTGCTGATCTGACAGGAAGCAGAGCTCAGGCAGTAATGCTTGCTGGCCTGCCACTTACCTCCTACTGCGTGGCCTAGTTCCTAAGAGGTACCTACCTGTCTGTGGCCCAGGGTTTGGGGATCCCTGTTCTAGTTCACCTTGATGGTATAATACTACAGGGTCCTCCTCTGAATAAATAAGAACTACCTAATTTTCCCAACTCACTCAGAACAAGAAGAGATAAAATACTGAGCAAAACAAAGATCACTCTTGGAATTTCATTCAAAAAAGTGAAGCCTACTATGTTTAATTTACTTTTAGCTTTATTTCAAAGAATCTGGGGAAGTGTTTCTTGTTGAGCACCATAACGGAGGTGTCACAGCTCCTGCTTATTTCTTGAATCCCATATGAGATGACTGGCTTACCGAGAACAAATAAATAAATATAAACTGATCAAGCTTCAATGGGTTACATCCTGCATCCATCTGCTATGTTTGTTTATGTATTTTTTTTTAATTTACCTTTTTGATGGACACAGGGAAGTGGATTTGCTAATATGTTTACTGGAGAGAGAAATAAAGCCAGATTTTCTTCCCTTCCCTATTCTTATATGTCCAGTAGAACTTACAGCAAAGTATTTATGTGAAATTTGCTACTTGAAGCATATTCTATCCAATCAATCATGGAAAACAATAAAAGAGTCAAATCACTTTAAAAAACAGTGGCTTTCCCCTTTCACTGACCTCCTCTCAATCATCATCACTTATAGAATCCAAAGAATTCACATATTGGAGGAAAGAAAGCAGTTCTAAAAATTGAACAATCTTCAGCCAGTCTTGACGGAAGTTTGGCTTCAACTCAACACTCAAAGTCAAACATGTTCCAGCATCTCCCACTCTGATGTTCACTCTCACATGTGGCATCTATAGAAGAAGAGTGGCTCTTGCCTTCTAATAGTAGAAGGGGCCTTCATTCAAAAGCCATTGTTCCACTTTTCTTTCTTTATAAATTCCCTTATTTCTAGTCCTTTCTCCTATTGCTAAGATTGCATTTATTGCTGAGTAGAAGCATATTTTAAGTACATCTAAACATCAAAGTCAGTGTATCCTCACTGCTGAAAACCCACACGCGCGCACACACACACATGCACACACACACACACGCACACACACACCATTCTTTCTCACTCTCGCCTCACACTCATATTCTGACAAATCCCTGAATCCTCACCATTGTATAGTAACTGCTGTTCTCGCCACCTTTTTGCTTCCTGGTGGGTCTGTAATTGTCATCTCATCCCTGGAGCAACATCAGGATCACTCAATAAATTGATTGTCAGGGGATATTTGAAGAACAGAACAGCTTGAGCTCTAGAAGCCAAGTGCCTTATGGCCTCCAGCCCAGAAAAAGGAAGCAATGAGGATGAACAAACCTCATCCCATTCCACTTCTCTAACACATTAATGAGAATTAAGGAAGTGAATTTTATTCCCTATTCCTACTCAGAAAGAGCAAACAACAACACAAAGAAGATTAAAGAATTAAATAAGACCATCCTTGACATTCCTTTTTATTTAGAGTGAAACTGAGAATAAAATATCCAGCTCCTGGATATGAAAAAGTTCATTTCAGCCTTCCATATGTACATGCAATTTGCCACTTTTATTTGCACAGTGATAGTATGTCTTGCCTGTCCAGAAGTGGTGCTGTGACAGGGATTCTTCTAGTGTTGTTTCAATTTAAAATATTGTTTAATTGTATTTTCAAGCTTTTAACAGTAAGATTCTAATATGCGTTCTCTTCAAAATCCTGTTAGGAGAGTGCCTTCTATGTTGTCAGCCTTTACTGGAGGAACGATACAGCTTTTGCCAGGAAAAAGCCTAAGGGGAGGACGGATCAACATTTCAAGATACCCTCTGAGCAACCACCTCTGATTATGCTTATAGGGAAAAATCAAGACCATAGGGGAATTTCTGAATGCAGACAAACTACATTTCTGTTAGGAAATCATTGCATCATTCAACACAAGGGGACCAATGTAGGAATGGGAGAATAAGAAGTATTAGCTCCCTGCCTGATCTGTGATTTAATATCATAATCAGATCATGCAAGGTTTATCCTGTTAACCCCATTTTACAGACAAGAAAATAGCTATTCATAGGTATTAAGAAAGCTAGTGATAGCTATTCATAGATATTAAGAAAGTTACTCATAGAGATTCATCAATATTAAGAAAACTATGAATTTAAGTTCTTTTTTTTGTTTTTGTTTTTTTGAGATGGAGTCTTGTTCTGTCACCCAGGCTACAGTGCAGTGACGTGATCTCAGCTCACTGCAACCTTGCTGCCCAGGTTCAAGTGATTCTCCTGCCTCAGCATTCCGAGTAGCTGGGATTATGGGTGCCTGACACTGTACCCGGCTAATTTTTGTAGTCTTAGTAGAGTTCAAAGACCATGTTTTTTTCCATCTTACCATGCTGCTTTTCAGATATGATGACTCCTTAAATTAAGGTAATGTGGATGGAAATGATAATGACATTCCAGTAAAAAAGAAAAGAGGAAACTTTGTACATGATTCCACAGTGCAAATACACAATTACACCTTTACTTCAAAAAGCATTTATTCAATCAACAAGCATTATAATATATATAAGGATTTAATAAATCAAAAGGCATTTATTAAAGATGCTTTTATATCAGGCACTGGACCTGTGCTGGAGTCACAAAAATGTATAAGATACCATCTTGGCCCTAAAGGATTTTAGAACCTAGTGCGGAAGACACCTAAAAGGATCATTTCCAGGTTGGAAGTGAAGTGACTAACTTTGCAGGGCAAGTTTTCTTAAAAAGGTGCCATCAAAGCTGTGTCTTAAATAATAATTAGGTCAAGGGAGACACAAGACACAAAAGGCATGTCAGGTAGAGGAAATAACATGCACAAAGTTGCTGAGAAGGATTTCAGGCTAACACAAAATTATAAAGCCACGTGGCTACACACTGGCCTCTGTCTGCTATTAAAATGTAGCAAAATATAAAAATGTTATAGATAAAATCCAAAAGGCACTGCTGAGATCAAATAAATAAGTTAGATATCTCTGTGGTCTGAAAGCAGACAAGTAACATAAATCTTTCAAGCCTGGTCCTGAAACTGTGGTTCTGCTGCTCTTAGGCTATCGAACCAGGCAAGAAAGCTAGGAATTCCTGCTTCTGTGAGTAAACTGAGATTAAGAATGCCCTGTGCAAGATTGATGTTTAGAGATAGGCTTGGAACTGGAGACCTGCCTGTGAAAAGACTATGACCACTCCTAGATTACAAGAAAGCCCAATATATAGCATCTCTTTACCTCTTCAAGTTCAGAACCAGTGGAGAGGGAGAGGAAAAGGGAGAGGAAGAGGAAGAGGGAAAGATTAATGAGAGTAAGAAAGATGGATATCAAAATGCATCCCTTATTGCTGATAAATGCTAAATTGGAGAGTGTGGCTTAGATGCATAGCCAGTGGGGTTGGTAACAGTCTCCTGAATTAGACAGATTTATCCACCCAGTAACAGAAGGGATGCAAAACTGCTCACTCCTATGCAAAGTCAGAGCCTCCCTGCTGAGATTAGATCTTGGCCAAGAGGGCAAACCAGAAGTCACTCATTGCCACTTGCAGACAGTCTCAAAGAAAAAACCTCAAAGCATCTAAACCACATACATTCATTCCATCTCAAAAACTCTCTAAGCCAATAAGTCACTCCTTCTCCCTGAGAGGAATCAGTGATAAGGTGGAGAAGCAACCAGAGGGATTACGTCAGTGCAGTTCCCTGTCAGTCTTCCTCAATAGTGCCCTCTGTCTAAGGTTATTATTTACATAAAATTTTGTAGTTACATGGCTGGAAGTAGCATACACAGCCTGACAGCTCTCACTGACTCAGTAATAACATCTGTTTTAGCCTCATTTTCATCACGAGAAAAAACTGCTACATGGGCAATCAAAGACCTAGTTGTGAACTGAAGAATCAGGGTGACTGGATAGAGACAAGCTCAAAAGTCTCTATATATAGAGGAGGATGAGTGCAGGACAGGAAGGCAATGAGTGCAGGACAGGAAGGCAATATAGGAAGGGATGAGTGCAGGACAGGAAGGCAATGAAACAAACCCCACTCAATTCTAGTCTGAAGATTCAAATTCCAAAATACATGAGAGAAAAAGAGCTAGGAGAACAAACCAATAAAATCAATAAGTCAGTAGAACGACACACCCTAAGCGAAATGAAAATAACTAGAAAGTTCCTAAGTAGCTTTAAAATACTTATATTTAACATCATCAAAATGATGAAGATATGCATGGCATTTAGAATAAATAATAAGGTAATAGGAAATTTAAGAAAAAAAACAGAATAAATAGAAATGAGACTGGGTATCTGAAAGGACACTTAATTAGAATTCCAAAAATGTGAAACAAAATGTTTAAAATAAAGAAAACAATTAATTGGAAATGCTGTAGACAAACACCAGCTAAAGGAGAAACTGGTGAATTGGACAATATCTGAGGTGTCAAACAGTAATGAAGCATGTGAAGATAAAAATTGAAAAGGGAAGCTCGGAGACATAGAGGATGAGGAACTCCAATACACATTCATGCATCCAAGCAGAAGAGATTTGAGGGAGCAGCAGATAAGCAGTGTTTGAGAAGATGATAGCTCAAAATTTTTCCAAATTAAATAAAACCATGTATTCTCAAACTGAAAGTGCATAACAGTTGCCAAACAAGAAATGGATAGCAAAGTCCATGTGAAGAAATGTCACAAATTCACCAAGAAGAAAGCGAAGATGGAGATATGAAGAACTCCAAGGATTATGGTGCCAAGAAACATAGAGAATGGGGCACTGATTGGCAAGACATAAAAGCAGAACCAGGGGTCATAAAATAAAGTCACAATAAAAAATGTTTACTTTATCCTGTACATGAGAGGAAGCCAAAAAGCCACACTGAGGGAGGCAAGGCTGGAGAAATGACATAGATTGAGCTGAAAAAATGAATGATAAGGCCTTAACCAGCATTAGAGAAAGGAGAACAGAGAGGACAGCATGATTTGGATTTTGTGACAACATTTCCCAAGTTACTGGATGTGGGGAGGGAAGGAGAGAAAAAAAGATGTCAAGAATTATCCTCAGGCTTCTAGCCAGGATGATATCATTGGAAAGAGTGAATACAGAAGATACAACTGGTTTATGGGAGATGGGAGATAACTAGCTCAATACTGTACATACATAGTGTGGGAAAACTAGGGAGACATTTTTGACAAAATTATCTGGATATTTGAGTTTGGAAACTAGCAGAAAGTTCTAGACTGGAATAAAGACTTGGCCATCATCAACCTAAAAATTTCTCCATTAGTTTCTATAACAAAGATCATTAACATCCCAAATCAGTGACTCTCCCCCCTAATCAGTGGCAACTCACTGACTAGGTGAGGAGTTATTTGCAGGAGGGGCAGAGGTAAGACACTGATGACTAAGGAGGCTGAGGAAGTGGTAGGAAACTTAGACAATAAGAGAAAAGGCAACGTGGTGGCAGTGGGCATCAGCCACAGAGCAGCCAAGCAGCTAGCCGGGCAGTGTTGGTATCAAAAAGCAGGTAGGCAAAGGACTGGGAAACCAAGGTGCTCTGCTACAATGAGGGCTCAAGGCTGACATGAAAATCAGTTAAGAAACAGGGTGTGAAAAAGCTGAGGGGATAAGGTAGTAAAAAATAGGAAAGCAGCACAAAATTGACTACACACGGAGAAAGCAATTGGAAACACATGGTCAAGGGGAACTTTGCTTTGGCAGGAGAACAACAATTGTTGTTAGAAAAACACTTGAAGATAGGTTCCTAGGTTAATTTTGACCATGACTTAGACCTCTTATTTGAGCATCAGATACCCTGTGCATCTTTACATATAAGAATCACACTTGCCTAGAGAATGGAAGTGTACTGCCATCACTTTCGCTCTGCTATGACAATACATGAATGACTAATGAAATGAAAGTTAAGGTTTTTGAAAGCTCACCAGAATAAATCTTTACTTTCCTAGAATGAATGGCTAAGTGGCTCTTTTCAAGGCTTGGATAATAGTTTCTAAATGAAGGAATGAATATCAAGAGCTTAGAGTGTTAACTCAAGCTAAGACTTTGGGGAGACCTTTGGAAATATTTAAAAAGATAGATTAGTGAAACAGTGAGACACAGATTAAAGGAACATGCTTTCAGATCTGTCATGTGGCATTGCATCTGCCAGGTTATTTATTTTTCAGTGCCTACAATATTATGAATCCGAAATCACCTTTAGGAGAATCCTTATTGGATAACATTGAGAAAAATCAAAGATACTGTTCACCAATGTGTTTTAATTCTTTGGGAAATAATGATATTTTAATACTTACTCAGAATTATAATTACTTATTACTTAAAATCTTTTATGAGTATTTATTGTTAATAATTATTTTAGAAAATGAGATTCTGACTGTATACAACAAGTTACCTTTCCCTTTTGTGCTTATTTCAGAACTTAAAGCTAAGATGTAGATTTTTTTTGTATCTGTCTTTTGACTAAAATAATCCCTGGAGTAAACAGGAGAAATGTATAGTCCCCCTAACCAGTCAACATTTAGATGGAAGAGTGAGGGAATTGCTTGCTTCAAATAAGGCACAAATTTCAGGGCTGTCATGAAAGTTTGTGCAGATTGTGCACTGAACACTTACCTCCAGGAGCTACTATTCACATGGAGGTCTGTGCGCATGTACACTTTGCACAAGTACATTTAGTAGCCCTGGGTTTTCCCCTCTTTTGCTGCCCCATCTCTTAGATGGCTATGGCTTTATCTGAGGAGACTTTGTATAGCCTTAAGTTCTGGAGCAAACACAGAGGAGTAAAAAGATATTCATTTCCATGGCCTGGAGGCTTTAGCTGCAGAGTCACATGGACCTGGGATTAAATCTTAGCCCTGTTACCTACTATCTCTGTGAATGTAGGCATACTATATTAATTCATTGAGACCATTTCCTGATCTGTAGAATTGGGATAATAATAATCCCTTCTTAAGAGTATTGTTAGGATGGCAAAATGTGATTATAAAACAGTTTTCACAGTTTTTTTCCTCAGACTAAGTATGGATAAAATGTTAGCTCATCATCATCATCATCATCCCATCTATAGAACCTCTATGTTAGAAACTCATGGCAGTTCCTGTCTTTATTGTCATTTCATTTGTTCAACAAGTTAGTATTAAGATATCATTAGAAGCAAGCCACTTGCAATATGAAATACCAAGAGGAGTCAGACAGAACTGTATCTATATGGGCAGGCTCTACAAGAGGGGCAATCAGACATCAGTACTCTACATAGAGTCAAAAGTCCTCATTAAAATGAAATGGTCACAGTCTTGGAAGGAATAGATCACTTTTGATTGGAATTAGCCCATACAGTGTGTTAATTTAATCTGGGCTTTGAAAGATGGATGATGGATGAAGTTTCAACATTGAGGACTAGAGAAAGAAGTGGGCATTCTGAGTACAGGAAAGAGATATTATAAAAAAGCAGATATCGGCCGGGCGCGGTGGCTCACGCCTGTAATCCCAGCACTTTGGGAGGCCGAGGCGGGCGGATCACGAGGTCAGGAGATCGAGACCATCCCGGCTAAAACAGTGAAACCCCGTCTCTACTAAAAATACAAAAAATTAGCCGGGCGTAGTGGCGGGCGCCTGTAGTCCCAGCTACTTGGGAGGCTGAGGCAGGAGAATGGCGTGAACCCGGGAGGCGGAGCTTGCAGTGAGCCGAGATCCCGCCACTGCACTCCAGCCTGGGCGACAGAGCGAGACTCCGTCTCAAAAAAAAAAAAAAAAAAAAAAGCAGATATCCCTATTATTTCTTCAGGTTTTAGGATAACAGTCTATCACATATTCAGATCCTAAAATGTTAACCCAAAGGTTGTTAAATATGTCCTGTTTTCATGTACACAATCATTTGTGAGCCCTTTGCGGCTGACATCAATTTAACTGGGCCATGGTTTTGGTCCAGTGAAGTACTATGCTGGCTTCATTGCATAGTGGCTACAGGGTTCAGTGAGAAGGACGGCACCAGAAAGCCTAGATACTTCCCAGCTCTGGCATATGACAGCAGTGCAATCTTAGCAGTTACTTCTCACCTCTGAACCTCAGTGTCTTCATCTATAAAATAAAGATGACATCATTTACCTAACTATACAGAATGAGTTGATGTAGAGCAAACTTCATTAGCAGATGGCTGGCCTTCACTAAACAAACTTTATTAGCACACAGCTGACCTTCATATCAGCAAAAGGTAGCAACTGCTATAATTTTATTTCTTCAAAACTTGAATTATAGAAATCACATACAAATATATAAAATCCCTAAATATCAAATGCTTATAGTCATGAGATTTTTATTGTAGGCATTTTTTAATTATTAAAACAAAACCTCAGCTTTTTCCTTTTTTGAGTATCCCTCTAAATTGGAAAAGGTACTATGTTTTCCAAGTAATTACATCACACAACATTTGTTAAATATTCAATGCATTATCTTTTCAAGAACAGCATTTGCTCTCCTCCTTGTGTGACCTGCTTAATATTAAGATAGTTTGTGAGTGAAGACAGTTTTGGCATTACTCTCCCCCTTGTTCAGTCTCTTACTCTGCTGATTTCCTTTGTACAGACTCTGGAATGTCTAACCATACTAATGGAAAAGAGAAGATGAAGTATGAGCATCAAAAATCATTTTTCCTCTAATAAATACAATGCTAAATAATATCCAATTTTGAGCACAAACACAGAAAAATACCTGAAAGTTAAATGGATTTTTTACTTTCCATTACCTCTTTTGACTAAGCATGAAATTCTGTCTTAGGGAAAAAAAAGAAAAGAAAACTTGTGACAGAAAGAACATGTGCAGTTGAGTTCTGTGAAACCTGACATGGAAACAGACAGGTTGACATTAATGACCGGCATTTGAGTGGATAGACAGAAAACCAAGCCCCCCAAAAGCTGATGTATGATACAGTCCAAATGGGTAAATCAGAGGTTGGTGAGGAGTGAAAAGTTGAATGGAATTGCATAAAATGAAGCAGAACAGCACAGAAAAGTTAATTTCCCTTCAAATCTGATGTTCCAGGTTTGATACCCCCAAAGCATTTCCACCATACTCCACATCACCCCAAATAGACATATCCACTCTTCATTTGGCAGTTCCTAATATTCCTGCCTTAAATGACTTCATAAAATGAGATCTTTTTCTTCAACTGGAGAACAGAAAAGAATTTTCTACCTTAATATTTAAGTTATAGCATTTAAAAGCAAAAATAAAAAGTAAAAAATGAAATAAAGCTCAATATATTTTAAACTAACCTAATCCAACAAGAAAGGAAAATTTAGAAACCAAAGTAATCTAATTTTATATGTATCCATATTAACCAAATACTATTTTCTTTCTTTCCACTGCTCTGATAAAAATGCATTTGTATTTCTTTCTGACAGCTGTACACCAGAGTGTACTAAACTGGAAGTCAGGAGTCCTGGGGTTGAGTCTTACGTTAGCTGTGCTACTGCGTATAAATCACTTCATCTCATTGGGTCAGTCTTCTGTCAACATAAGGTAGTTGAATTGGGCAAATGCTAAATGTCTTGGAAATCTAACATCAAATGATGATCTCTTCTGCATGGATTTATTACACCTGCTCTCATCCCCTATTTTTTGCCATAGAGACAATAGCACGTGACAGTTAAATAGATAGGAAGAAGAAATTGTTTTGGCCAATAATTCTCAAAGTAGAGGCCATAGATGGCAGACCTGTAAGAGATTTTTTAAAACATATGTTTTCACTTTAATTATATATATATTTAATACATAGTATAATTAGACTATGTTTAAAGATAAATACCTTTTTAAAATTCTTTGGATGACTACTATGTAACTAAGTACAGCCACTTACATTTTGTCTTTCTGACACTATTGGGGACAAATTATTACCAAAAGTTCAGCAATTTTGTTGGCAAATATAGATGGCTTTCCTACAGTTTAACATGTCCTAATGTAAAGAATGGCAACAATTGCCCCACATGCATTCATGTAGATTTTTCTTACCAGCCACATAAACCAAACTGGTAAAAATTCAGAACTGAAAGCTGCTGTACACCGTGCACTTCAGTTCCCTAAGTTAGTGCTTCTAACCTTAGAGATCACATTCTTTTATTCGAGAATACTGGACTAAAATGCTATCTTATGTATCATCTGAACAATTAAACTGTAACATAAATTTAACGGTTCTTCATAAGCATGCTTTTTCTAAAGGAAAATACTGAAATAATTGATAAAAAGTTTTTCTCCTTAAAAACTGTACAAAATTCAAGAAAATCTATGAGGACCAGAATTCTATCTTTAACATGAGCTAAACATTAAAAAGTCAAGAGAAAACTAGAAAAAGGAATATTTTGCTTCAAAAAGAGGGGGAGATTTCATATTTTTCTATCAGTTATAAAGGCCGAGGTACATTCCTAAAAACCAACTGCGAGCACATGAATTCTGTCTTCTTTGTTTTGAGTAACTCCATATTGTTTTTTTGGGTCATATGAACAATATGCTCCCTAAAATAACAACTGCTCCTGTCCATAATATCATATTCACTTCTAGAGTACCCATATGACAATCAAATATTTCTTTTTATAGCTCCCTCACTTCTTTGTTCCTTTCAGGTATTCCAAAATTTGAATTTTATTGCACAAGTTATCTAATAAACCTGATTCTCTTCCAAATATCCCAGCAGGTTGCCCTTTTCCCATAATGCCATCCAGATGGCCTTCAACCCACATGAAACTATTAGAGACACAATAATATTCCTAAAGCCTTTGTCTCATCACCTCTCTCTTCTTATGTTCAGTATGTTTCCTCTGATCTCGCTTGCTAATTAAGATGAGATACAGAAAAAAGCTTATAAAAGTCAAAGACCTAAATAGGACCTCTACTATCTTTGTGTTTGTGTGTTTTATATGGGCTTCTCTCCCACGGAAATAATGAAGGAAAAATAAAAAGATGAGCTGGATTATAAGACATCGCTGACCAATCGGGAAAAGCTAAAGGCAAATGGCATTAATATTAATTTTAAACCAAACAAAGAGCTTTAAGTCTATCAGTCAAACTCCCAGTATCACTGCATATTTAAGAAATGTCTAAAAGGGATATTCTCCCCATATAAAAAAAGATATTCAGCCGGACACTATAGTGCATACCAATAATCCTAGCTTCATGGGAAGCTGAGGTGAGAGGATCACTTGAGACCAGGATTTCAAGGCTAGCCTGGGCAATACCACAAGACACTTGTCTCTAAACAAAATAAAATATTCTTCAAAAGCTTCTAGTGATTTTTCATCTTGAAAAAGCACACAAAAAGAAATAAGCCATAGCATAGATTCAGCAATGAAAGCTGTCAGCCACTGCAATGAGAAAAATAAGTGTTTGGGCCAACATCTTTGAGTCTCTGGTTAGTCCTGAGTACAATCAACAGAGATGAATTTTATGACAGCTCAAAATTCTCTTCAGACCTATATTTCTCTAAGTAAAAGAATGAGTCTGACCAGGCAGATTTATTAAAGATTGGTACTTAATGAGTCATACTTACCAGGAGCTGGAAGTCTCTAGGGCTTTTAGTTTTTTGCCCCAGCAGTGTTCAAGAAGGCAAAAGTTCAACTTGAGGTTCCTAGACATCACCTGTATCCTTCCCCTTATGCTGCATTCACACCCACTAGTGACAAGCATAGGCAAATTCTAGGGAGGTAAATACGCAACAATTATGCAGTGCTGCAAAGGGAGTGAACTGAGGCTGATGCAAAAGAAAGATCAAAAATTTCCTTACAATCCTTATAACTAGAAATGAAACTGAATTCAAAACCATCATAATGCAGATGGGCTGGTGTTTTCCCTTGTTAATTTTTTTAAAATGTCCCTGAGCATAAAATCCAGCAATCAACAATTTCTTACTTTGGCCTAAGTACTGTGGGTGTTCTTCCAGTCCTTTTGTTGATACATAGTTTTCATGTTAATAATAGCTAATTATTTGGCAAAAATAACCACAACCTATTTTCCCTCTATCTCACATAATACAAATGGCTTAGAAAAGATGATTCTCACACTGAAGTGGTTACTTCTTTCTCTAATGATTACATAGATTCATAACTAGAACATTTGGTCAAAACCTGGAGACTTTCTTCTGTAGTATTTTCACCTTAAAGCGTTTTAAGAGAAATATACAGACTGTTTTCTACTTTTCTTTAAAAAAATCAAAGCATGTATAAATTTATAAATTGATACTTTGAAGGGGTACTTTATCTTTAGTGTCAAAAATACACTATTTAGGATTTATTTCCAATTTGCCCGGTAAGCAGCTTCAGCTTCATTTTCTTGCAGTACCTCCACTTTGGTATGGTGGTGGGGGATGGCTGCAAAAAAAAATGTGTACGCAAAATATTTGACTAAATGAATTATTTTTATCTACACCTTTTTCTTATGCTATTGGAATTTCAAATCTCCTTCTACTCCAAATCAGTCATGAACTAGAACTTTAAGTAAGAAGGCATAAGTCTGAAAGTAGTAGATAGACACTACATAGAAGCAGATGTTGACCCCTGCACCTATGATCTTTTGTGTCCTGGCACCAGTCTCTTAACTGGCCTACCGAATGCCTTCAGTGTCCTCTCCACCCTTTTTCTAATCAGGATTAATGACCTTCTGCTATTCTAGGATGACCGGCTTTTCCAGATACCCATGAGCATGGGAAAAGGCTAGCAGATGAATGTGCTTTTATTTGGATACTGCCATATGCCTTCTATCATCCAATACTCTCTGTGAGGATTTCCAAACTTTAGTAATTCTTATCTCACTACCCTGGTCTGTGACTTATCTGTGTTACTATCCGTACTATTGTTTACTCTATGTTAACTACTTTTGTAATTTAATTTTCAAAGGAAACTTTATACCAGTACTAAAGATGGAAAACCAATATTGTTCAAATACAGCGGTTTCTATATCTTATAAGTCAAATATTTTTAGCATGTACATCCAGTCATTTGTTTTATTTATAACAATGTACATTTATTACTGCATAATATATATATTATAACAAAAAGAAAAATGAAAGAATCAATTAAGAAAGGAATGTAAATAGTTCCTTTATATTTCTTGTACCAAAATAGATCATCTTGCATAATTCCTAGTATATGCATGTGCATATGAAGCTTTGGTGACTATTTTTTTCTAATACACAGTAAAATAAAAATATAATCATTAAAAATTATTAAAATATATATAAAGTAACTAAAATATATATAAAGTACCTAAAATTATCTAAAGTACCACCAGTAATATGAATATAACACATTTCTATTTGCCGAGGAAATCATTAGCATAATTAGGAGAAAGACTTTATGCTGTTCTCAAAGAAAACTTAATTCATTTCGCCTCTAAGTATTTAGCTTATTGGATGACTCTTTCCAACTTTTGAATCAGATAAGAAGAGTTGCGCTCATAAATTTAGAATGTTCATCCTACATTGGTGTCTTCTAAATCTCCCATTCTGACAGCCACAGACAGGGATGGGTTACCATTATGCTGGCCAGACACAGGTATATTTTCAATAATTAGACAAAGCAAAAATTTCTTTTTCCAAATACTTATTCTAGTGCTTCAAAAATTAAAAAAGAAGATACAGATGCTGCGATTCAGCAAAGCAGCTATCAAACGAAGATTTTTTTTTTTTTTTTTTTTTTTTTTTGAGACAGAGTCGCTTTGTCGCCCAGGCTGGAGTGCAGTGGTGCGATCTCGGCTCACCGCAAGCTCCGCCTCCCAGGTTCACGCCATTCTCCTGCCTCAGCCTCTCCAGTAGCTGGGACTACAGGCGCCTGCGGCCACGCCCGGCTAATTTTTTGTATTTTTTAGTAGAGAAGGGGTTTCACTGTGTTAGCCAGGATGGTCTCAATCTCCTGACCTCGTGATCCGCCCGCCTCGGCCTCCCAGAGTGCTGGGATTACAAGAGTGAGCCACCGCGCCTGGCCCAAACGAAGTATTTTTCTTTTTTTTTCCTTTTTTTTTTTTTTAAAAGGAAGTATTTTTCAATTGATAGGACTGGATAGAATTAACTTAGACTTTTGGTGGTGTGAGTTTCTTGTTTGGTTGGTTTTTACTTGCTTTTTACAACCTGAAATTCATAGGAGGATCACTTCAGAAAAAAAACTAAATTTTATTGACTACTAATCCAAGTGTCTAGACTTTTTTCAGATGAAAAAAACCAAGGGTCAAATTTGCTGTGATTGACCTAAAACCACATGCTGCAGCCAGAATTCAACGACCAAATTTATTTACACTCAAAGCCCCAGCCTCTTTCTAGTACATAACTGTAACTTTTTCGCTCATCCCAAAATAATGGTACTGAGCGTTTACAAAGCTTCCCCATATCTCATCTAGCTAATTGGTTTACTTCTCAATTTCACTTATCACAAAAGCAATGTTATAATAAAAAAATGCTATTTAATAAAGAAAATCATAATATCACAATTAACATAGCAACTGTTTTAATTTTTCTATGTTCTTACTTCTATACATAAGCAAAAAATTAGGTATTGATATAACAAAGTTTGTATTCAGATTTCTCCACTTAACATTATATTACATATGTCTTCTTCAAAATGGCTATTTTCATGCTTGGATAATCTACAGATTTCATGAATTATGATGACATTCTATCACTAGGCATTTAGATCATCTGCAATATCACTATACTATAAATAATTATGAAATTATCATTTTGGTACATGAAATTTTCTTTTTCGTTAAATTATTTCCTTATGCTAAAAATCTCAGGAAAAGATTCTTTGTAACTCTCGATCTATCATTTTTTAGTGCAGCTCCTACTGCACTGCAACTGGGGGTGGCAGGAAGTATGCAATCTCACTGCGACCTCACCAAGATTAGAGTATGCACTTTTCTCTTTCTTTTTTCTTTTTTTCCTCTCCCCAACTTCCCTCTCTTTCTCCTTCCGTCTCTCTTCACCTCTCCCTCTCCCTGTCTCTCTCTCTCATTTCAGGGATGTAAAGGTGGTATTTTATTGTATGGTATTTCTCCCTTACTAAGGCAGACAAACATTTTTGTACATATTTGCTTACTAAATGTGTTTTCTGTTAGTGAACTGTGGCTTCATGTCGCTTTTCCGTAAATCCTGTAAAGGAATCAAGCTTTCCTTACTGAGCTCATCTGTAATGTGGTGGTTATGCTTCATCATTCACAGATGTGTGACCTTGGGCACATTATTTTATCTCCCTGTGATTGGGTTTCTAATCTAGAAAATGAGAATAATCATCTTATAAAGTTGTTGGGAACATTAAATGAATCAACACATACCAACTTCATAGACTATTTTCTGGCATGTAGTAAATGCTCAAGAAATATAGTGTATTTTGTCTATAGTAAGTTTTGACGTAATACTTGCTTATAAAGACATCTCCTCAGTCTCTTTAAGGGTCTCTATTTTTTAGTTTTTCTATAATGGCAAAAACCACAATTATCTTTACACCAACCTACTATTAGTTTATCAACTCATTCAAATACCAAACTGTATGATTATGCTTGTGCTTAATTCTTGTTAAAAATATTCTGGTTTGGTGGGCCACTTCATATAGGGGTCATTTCAGAAGTGCAGAATTTCAGGTCTAGTGACAAGTTGTAGGGGTCATATAGAGAGACTTCAGAGCTCTGCAGGGGTCATCCACTCTGGAGTGCTACCAAGGGCACTAGCGTTATGGACCAAGGTCAAAATGTTGGCTTTTATGCAAGAGTTATCCTAGCATGCTTTGTGCAGGTCACAGGAGGAATGATAATTTGCTATTTTAGCCGGGTGTGGTGGCTCATGCCTGTAATCCCAGCACTTTGGGAGGCTGAGGCAGGAGCATCAACACAGGTCAGAAATTCGAGACCAGCCTGGCCAACACAGTAAAATCCTGTCTCTACTAAAAATACAAAAATTAGCCAGGAGTGGTGGTGGATGCCTGTAGTCCCAGCTACTCCAGAGGCTGAGGCAGGAGAATGGCTTGAACCCAGGAGTGGAGGTTGCAGTGAGCTGAGATCGTGCCACTGCACGACTCCAGCCTGGGCAACAGAGCAAAACTCTGTCTCAAAAAAAAAAAAAAAAAAGAAAAAGAAAAAGAAAAGAAAAAGCTATTTTACAAGCAACTGGAACATTCTAAGAAATCATTTCTTAAGCACTTCCTATTATAGGTCACTAAGCTATAAAGGAAAAACAAGTGAATGCTCTACTTTCCGTGTTTCCTGAATTCATTCAATAAATATGTCCTGAATGCTGTGCTTCATATTCCTCCACCCTCACAATAAGTAGATTATGAGTTGTGTCAGGCTTAGAGTAGGAGGGTAGGAGGATAGGACGGTAGGAAAAACATTGGAATCAATTTTGGAAATGTGAAACTGAAGGCTGGGAAGATACAGTGACTAAGCAGTTGGAAAGATTGGCCTGGAGACCAGGCAAGGGGTATGGATTAGAACTACATACAGCAGCAAAGTCACAGGAGTGGGCAGGATCAGGCAGGGAAGAAGAGAAGGGGACCTAGAATGGAGGTTCCTGCAAAAGAGACTGAGAACAACTGGGGTAAAAGGAGGTAAAAGGAAAAGCAGCAACTAAGTTGTCACTGATTTTAAGGAAAGAGATTTTAAGAAAGAAGTGGCTAACACAATCAAATTATTGAGAGATGTCAAGTAATATTATAATTACAGTGGCCTTTCAACTTACAAAAAATAAAGAGAATTTGTGGCCATGACAAGAACAATTTTGGGGAAGTGGTGACATTTTAGCAGATTGAGGCAGGAGTGGTAGTTAAGGAGCAGGGTAGAGAAAACTGATTTAAGAATTTTTGTTCTGAAGGCGGTAGATACGTAGAGGGAGCTGAAGGAAGCATGAGATAGGAGAGTTTTCTGTCTGCTGTGTGTGTTCATGAAATATCTCTATATGTAGCAAACATCTATATCAGTTTATAAAGACAGTAATATCTTACATTTTGGGAAAGCTCAAAAAGCTGGAACACAGTAAAAAGCAATGTTACATAAAAACATATAGAACTCTGATAATCAAAGTGGATTTTACCAAATTCTTGCATTAAAAGTTTCTGGGTTCCAACATGTGAAAGACAAGAGATTTGTTGTCAAATACGTCTGCAGTCCAATCCAAAGTTACTGTGTGATTTTAGTGATTTACCTAAACCTAGTAATACTAAATTTATTAATCTTTATAAGAGCGATAATACAATTTGCCTAGTAGGATTTGTACGGAACAAGTAGTAACACTGACCACTCACTGTTCTTGTACCACAAGCCAGGCCTGTGTTTCTCCATGACATTCTACAGAGTTCCAAAAGCAAAACTAAAATTTGCCCGAGCCAAGTACTATGTTGAATCCACATGTATAAAGTGATGTGTAGGCACTGTACTAGAAATTATAAGTAATCTACAGGTGATTTAAAGTATACAGGAGGATGTGTGTAGGTTGTATGCCAATACTACGCCATTTCATATCAGGGACTTGAGCATCCTCATATTTTGGTGTCCTCTAGGGGTCCTGGAACCAATCTCCCATGGATATCAAGGGACAACTGCATATATATACAGGAAGAGATTTTGAATGGTTACTATCTCAGAAGTGGGCCTAAACTCACTTCCTTGAAATGGTTCCAGATGTCAGCTTGACTTTTGACCAAGTACCTCCCTGTCTCTCCCTCTCTCTCTTTTTTTTTTTTTTGAGACAGTCTTGCTCTGTTGCCCAGGCACCATCTCAGCTCACTGCAACCTCCGCCTCCAGGGTTCAAGCGATTCTCCTGCCTCAGCCTCCTGAGTAGCTGGGACTACAGGCGCACACCACCACACCCAGGTAATTTCTGTATTTTTAGTAGAGACAGAGTTTCGCCATGTTGGCCAGTCTGATCTCGAACTCCTGACTTCAGAAGATCCACCTGCCTTGGCCTCCCAAAGTGCTGGGATTCCAGGCGTGAACAACCACGCCCGGCCACCTCTCTGTTTTAAAACTGGAATGCAGCAAATGCAGTCAAGTAAGTCCCATAAAATATTCCTGGACTAATCCTTCCAAGTCATGTGAAGATATTCATTTTATCTTTTACATGTTGCACAAACTGTTATAATCTTTTTGTCTTTTGCCTTTTACTAGAGGAAAATCAAAATCCATAATATATAATGGCTAATGAGATAGAATTAGATGTGATAATTTTTATACAAATTATCAGATAGAAGTATTACTGCTTGGCATCATATAATGACACCTAGAGCCTTGAAAGGTCATAATAGAAAGGCGCAAAGAGTTCTTTACCAGTCCTTCCACAAACATGCACACTAGAGATGCCCGGTGCTTTCTCCGACTGTTTCCTGTGGGGTGGATCCTGCTTACCCCGATAGTATAGTGTAGCTCTCATTTTTGGTATCTTCATCTCAGTCTCACTTCTGTGTTATCACTAATTTCATTGTTGATTTTAATCACCACCACTGCTGCTGATGGCCACTACCTTTTCATGCCGTTATTCTGTTCTTCCTTTCCCTCCTTCTCTTTTGCTATGTTTATTCCCATCACATTTGTTAATTATTGTGGGAAAAAGTTGATCTTCTAAATCACCTCTCTGCTTATATTGAGTATCTCTAGAGTCACTTGAGTTCCAAAAATTGTTTGAGAGAGCTGGGATTTTACTATAATAACAACGACAATAGCTTTCATTTATTGAGCACTTACCATGTGCTCGGCAGTGTCCCGAGAGTTTTATATTTGTTAATCTGTACCATAACCCAATGAGTTAGGTGCCATGATTACTTACTTTATTGATGAGGCCACTAAAGTATAGACTGATTAGTTTAATTAGTTAATTTTCCCCAAGTCACCCAGCCAGTAAGTCGTTGAACAGTGTTAAGTAGTTCTCATGTGCTTTATGATTTTCTGCCTCTGATATATCATCATTTATTTGTATTTTGCAATAGTCTCTCTCCCAGCTAAGCAACCCTCATTTTTATCATCACAACTATTGCTGTTATTAAGTTGAGTGGGTTTCTTTAAATGCACATGTCATGAGTTTAGAAAACCAACAGTGAACCTGACCTTAGTGGCATCCAGATCTATATTTTTAGTCATCCTCCTGAAGCCTATCACCCTCTGTACCTAGCAGAGTATCTTGCACATAGTGGATGATTCCAAAGATATTTGTTAATCAATTCATGACTGTAGTGCTGGTTTTAAATCATAAAATTGGTCACATGCAAACAATTTTTTAACAATGCTTCTGTATTAATTTGACAACCTACACAATTAACCAATAAAAAGCCATTAAACCTCTTTAAACCACATAGTGAAGGAATCTAGGAAAGCCCAGAAGTACTCAGGCAAATAATGGAGTACAACTGAGTGACAGGATGGTCAAGAACACCAGCTCTCTTTTTAAATACTCACTGCTTCTCCTCTGAAAACAAAAAGAAAAATAGTGATTTCAGGACATTTGGGAATCAAAAGAAACAGAGAACTAAAAATCCCCTAAAATCATATCTATACATATGTCACAGGGTTATGTATATGTGACACATACCTAAGTCACAGGGTTATTGCTTGAGGATTAAGTTAAATCCTATAAAGTGCTTGTGACAGTAGCTAACATATTGTATACATCAATAAAGTATCATTATTATTGCTGTAATTTATATTCCTTGATTCATAATGTTCAAAATTTCTTTGTTTCAACTTGCTGTCCTGTGCTCACTTTTCTACAAATGGGTTTGTGTTTTGCTTATCTATTTTGGAATATATTAATATAATCACATGATTCAAACCTCAGAATGTATAAAAATCATGCAATCAAGGCTCAGCTTCCTACCTCTATCCAGAATTAGATTCGTGCCCATATCCCGAATAAGTTACGATTCTTCTTTGTTTCTCATGTCTATTGCCAGAGGACAACACTATGCATATGCAAGCCAAATGCACATGCACATACACACTACACAGTAGAGTATATGTGTATATCATATATATTTTTAATGTATATTTATAAAGTTTTTCTTCTTCTCCTACACAAATCATATCATACCATACACATTTTTCTATGTCTGTCTAATTCCTCCTCATTGGTCTTCTTTTTCAGAAATTTCTTGGCTATTCTTGTTGATTTTCATATGAATTATACAATCAACTTGTCTAGTTTTGGGGAAGAAAAGACTTGGTATTTTTATCGGGATCATGTTAAATTTATAAGTAAACTCAGGAAGGATTAGCATCTTAATGATGCTGAGTCTTTCTATCCAAGAACATGCTATGCCTTTCCATTTGTTCATACAATCTTTTGTGGACTTTGAAAATATTTTAAAATTTTCTTCCTAGAAGCCTCACATTTCTTGTTAAGCTCATACCTCTAAATGTTACTTATTGTTGTTATTGCAAAGCAGGTATTTTCTCCCATTATGTCTTCTAACTTGTTTGTAAATGGGAAAATTATTGACATCTGTGTATTAATTTAGCACCCTAACACCTGAGAGATTTTATTGTGGCAGTAAATTTAGTTGATTTTCTTGGTTTTCAAAGTATTTAATTATATCACCTACAAGACAATACTTTTACCTTCTCATTTCTAATTTTTATTCTTTTTATTTCTTTCTTGTCTATTTGCATTGGCTAGTTCACCTTGTAATAATAGACGTTGATGGTGGACACACTTTTCTTGTTTCTAACATAAATAGAAATGCTTCTAATGTTTTCCCAGGAAACATGATGTTGGGCTTTGGTTTGATATGGATATATCATTTTGTGGGTTTTGTTTTTTTTAATTTGGAATGAATATTAAATTCCACAACATATCTTTTAAGTATCTATGAAAATGGTTATATAATTTTTCTTCCATTAATATTATATTATTAGACATCTTAAAAGTTGAAAGATCCTGGTCATATGATGTATTATTTTAATACGTTTCTGCATTCCAAATATCAATATTTATTTAGAATTTTTATACTGATATTCTAGAGAGACATTGATCTAAAACAGTGATTATCCAATCCAACTGCTTATTACAATCAATAGGGAGCTTTAAAAACAAACAAAATAAAATAAAAGTAATAATAAATGAATACTGACCCAACCACACCATGCACTAACTAATTACATCTGAATCTATGAAGGCGCAGCCTGGGTCTCTGGGGAATCTAATGTAAAGCCAGGTATGGAAACACTGGTCTAATATTTTCTTTTTATATGAATTCAGACTATGTTGTTGCTGTTTGAAAAGCCGTTTGAAAAGCAGATGTTTTAAAAGCATAAGCTCACTTCTTAAAAATATTTTGGCATTTTTCCCTCTTATCTATGAGCTGAAATAGTTTAAACAGCATTAACATCTACTTTTTAAAGATTTGTTGGTAGTTCGCCTATAAAACCATAGAACTTAGTTTATTTAAACATTATCCATTTCAAAGTATCATTTTGTTTGAAAAAGCTACAACTTGGTTGTTTTATTTTGGAGGGGAGGAGGAAAGTATAGATAACGATGTATTCTCTATTTCTTCTATGGAAAAATACTTGTTTACACTTTGTGTTTCCTTTAGAGTCAACTTAAACAAATTATTTCACTTACATTTAAGAAATTTATTTGCAAAATATTGAATAAAGTAGTCTCTTCTTTCTTGTGTACTGTAGTTGGCCTTTTTTATCTTAAAGAATTTAGCTAACACCTTAGTTATATCATTTTTGTTCTTTGTCTCTGTTTTTCTAACTCATGCATTTTTCTTGTTTCTTTTTATTTTTTATATTTATTTTGTTGCCTCTTCTTATATTAATTTTTGTGGTCTTTACTATGTATTTATATAAAAATTTAAGGCTATGCATTTTCTTTGAATATTGTTTTAGCTGCATCCTATCAGCTGTAATAGTACTGTCCTGCAGACAGCTTTTTTTTCACATATTCTGAAATTTTGGTTTATATTTCATCTTTAAACCTAGATTTGATTCACTTTCCTCTAGAAAGTAGAGAATTTTATTTTCTAATTTTGTTCACAATTTTGGTTTTGTTGCTTTGTCATAAAAAAGTTTGCTTTGCTATTTATACATCTGGAGATAATTGTGGTTTCCTTGGTTCCTTAGGACACGATCAGGCTAAGGGTTCATGGTTACTGGAAAATAATGTTTTCCCTCTATTTTTATAGAATAGAACTAACATAATACAAAAAAAAATCTACATTATTTTTTCAGTTTTCTGTGTATTTACTTTTTTTCACTTTGTCTAATCATCAACAATAAGAGGTAAATTATTATTACATTTCTATTTTTATTTACATGTCCTATATTTTTCATATGTTGATGCTATAGTATTAGTGCATGGAAAATTACAACAATTATATCTTTATTGCAAATTTTATCTTTTAACATTACCAAGGGCTTTTCTTGTTGTTATTTACTTAATGCCTTTGGCCTGAATTCCTTATTGTTTCATATTCATACTATGTTACCATCTATCTTTCTTATCTACATTTGCATGGCATGTCTTTGCCTATCTTTTTAACTTTTCTAAATCATTTTGATATATGCATGTCTTAATTACAACAGTGATTCTCAGTTGGAGATGATTTTGTCCCTTCTCCTTCCCCTCGGGGGTGGTATTTGGCAATGTCTGGGAACATTTTGATTGTCACAACTGAGGGAGGGGTGTGCTACTGGAACCTGGGGAATAATCTAGGGTTGTTGCTAAACATCCTACAATGAGTAAGACAGCCCCCACCCATCCACCCACTCAAAGAATAATCTAGCCCTAAATGTCTATAGTTTTGAGGTTGAGAAACCCTGATATAAAGGGTGGGTTTGTTATGTGATTCTAATTAAAATCATTAGTCTTTTAATAATGGGTTTTAAACAATTTGCATTATTGCTATGATTAATATATTTGGTCTTTGTTCTGTCATTATTTTGTTTCTTTTTAGTTACTGTTTACATCTTTCACTATTGTGCTCTGTTTTCTTTTACATGTTTATAGTTCTAATATTTAAAAACGGGGTTTGTACTTTGTTTTAATGATTACCTTTGTAGTTATATCTTTATATTATATATTTAATCCTCTAATTTGGAGGGCTGTATCTAATAGTTTCCTACTGTGAGCAATGAGAAAAAAGTATCACGTCTCTTTTCCTTGGAATCCTCTCGCTTTCGTCCTCTGCTTGATTTTGGTCAATAATATTATATTTCTTAATATTTACCTTTGTACTACTAAATGTTTATACTTCAGCAAGTTGATTTATCAGCAGTAGACAATACTCATTAATTCACAGATATCAATGAATGAATAATCATACTTCTTTTAATTTCCATACGCTTTTCCCTCCTAATTCTATTGGTTGTATTGTGTTTACCGTACCTTACTTACTACACACAGTAGGTCCAGAGACCCACAGCATCAACATTAGCTAAGAACTTGTAAGAAATACAAAATCTCGGGACTCATCCCAACCTAATTTTTCAGGATCTGCATTTTAAGAAGCTCCCCGAGTGATTTGTATGTATCTTAAAATTTGAGAATCGCTAGCATATAACATTTACATTATGTCTGTTATGCTACATTCCACATTAGTTTTAGTCTTAGTTCTATTAAATATATGGAATGTTCACTGCCAGTCCTTTTGCTATGTTTTCCCAAGTTATCTCTTGTTTTATTAATGTCAATTTTCTAGTAATTTTTTCTAGAAGAGCTCACTGGAAGAATACACTTTGACTCATGCATTCAAAACAGTTGGTTTATAGTATTTATAGTATAAAGACAGCATTACTAGATATGAAATCCTTCACTCATATTTTCTTTTCCTTAAGTATCTGGTAACTTTAATTTTATTATCTTTGGGGATTGAAGATTGCTGTGGAGAAATTTGAAGCCAACCTGATTTTTAATCCCTTAAAAAAATGACTCCTTTTTTGTGTGTATGTGTGGCTTCTTAAGCCCTAATATTGGTATTGACTGAAATGGGTCAATTTTCCTGGCACTAGTGCCCCTTCAATAGATAGACTAATTCTTTCCTTTCGGGAAAATGTTCTCAAATTGTATCTCTAAATAATTGTTTTATTTCATTAATACTGTATTTTCTTCCATAAGGAATCTAAATACATATATAGTATGTCTCCTCGTTACTTCTATTTCTACCATCTTTGTTCTGATCCTTTATATCTTTCTTTACATCTGTTTCATTTCACTCTCATGATTGCGACCCTCCGTGTTCCTGACCATGATCTCTGCAGTGTCTCTTGGACTTGTGCTGCTTCCTGTTTCACCTCCATTTCTGTAGTTCATTATTTTTTTTCTACTTCTTTCATGAGTTTGTTCAGCTTACTTTTCATTCTTTTTGCCACGTTATCATGTCTTTCCTATATATTTGCATTTCTGCACTGTGGTTTTTTTTGTAAAGAGATTTTTTTTTATTTTAATTAAAGGCATCACAATTACTCACAATTTACATCTGTCCCAGCAACCTCATTCTGGTGAATGTTTTTTGTTAATTAAGAATGAGGCTCTTTTCCTCTTTTTAAAATGTTATCTATGTATACACGCTGTGTAA
The DNA here is from genome assembly GCF_000001405.40 of Homo sapiens. Classification (NCBI taxonomy): domain Eukaryota; kingdom Metazoa; phylum Chordata; class Mammalia; order Primates; family Hominidae; genus Homo; species Homo sapiens. The sequence continues at coordinate 58,775,629 of NC_000002.12, read as the reverse complement.
GTGTTGTATTTTAGTATTAGTGTTTGTAGTATTGTCTGAGTTGGGGTCTTCTGGAAGAGCTGTTTGTAAGAAGTTCTCATAAGTGTGGAGGAGTCAGGTGTGTTCTGGGTTAGTTCATGTTCATAGGCATCTTTTCTCAGATAAAGCCAGCCTACATCCTGCCATTGTGGCTTGTATGCATTTTTTTTTTTTTTTTTTTTTGAGACGAAGTTTCACTCTTGTTGCCAAGGCTGGAGTGCAATGGTCTAATCTCGGCTCACTGCAACCTCTGCCTCCTGGGTTCAAGCGATTCTCCTGCCCCAGCCTCCTGAGTAACTGGGGTTACAGGCATGTACCACCATGCCCAGCTAATTTTGCATTTTTAGTAGAAATGGGGTTTCTCCATGTTGGTCAGGCTGGTCTCAAACTCCCGACCTCAGGTGATCCGCCCACCTCGGCCTCCCAAATTGCTGGGATTAAAGGCATGAGCCACTGCGCCAGGCCATGTGCATAATGTTTCATGACACTCCCTGCCTCTGAACCTGCTCTAAGCCCGATCCTCCCTCTGGGGATAGGAGCACTGTCACTTCCCCATTCATCCCATTTTTGAACCCTCTTTGCAGACAAGGAATCCAGGTATTGTCCCTCAGAGTGTGTCCCGAACTACAGGAAGCATATTTGTATAGAAGAGTTATAGAGCCTTGTGTTACAGAACCCAGTTCTCCTCCACTTACTCCCAATGGTTTCAACTGGCAGTCCCTGCAAACATTTGACAGTCTGTATTCTAGTTCAACCAAAAATATTGTGTAGGTTTTTTTCTTTCCTTTCTCCATGTTGCTTTTTAAGGTTTCTGAGAAGACAAAGGAAAAATGTTGAGTTTCTGGACACATGTTCCTAGCAGAATCTGTCTCTTACTGATTTTTAAGAATCCCTTTTTATATTAAGACTAACACTTTATGTTTTATAAATATTTCAAATATTTACCTGGGTTTTTTTTTTGCCTTTTAATTTTTTGCATGAATAAATATTTAATTTTTACATCATCAAACTTAATCTTCTCTATATCTCCTTTATTTACTTTTATGCTAAAATGGCTTTCCCTACATTTAGATCTGTTAGTAACGTATCTTCCATCTAGATTTTTCTTATAAATTTATCGTTTACATTTAACTTTTTAATTGACCCTAAATGTATGTTTAAATATTGTGTGAGGCAGAATTCTACATTCTTTTTCCCCCCAAATAGCTAAATTTTTAATACATTTCTTCAAATTATTTATCTTTTCTCCATTAAATCAAAATGCTACTTTTAATTGTATAAATTATTTATACTATTTAATTTCTATATTTAAATTCTATTATACTACGCCTATTTCATCTTACAATAGTAACAGCATCTTTATTATTGAAATTTTGTAATGTGCTTAGTGCAACATTACTATATCATTTTTCTTTTTCAAATTAATTATCTTTTTATGTTTAGATTTCTTTGTGAAAAGTAATTCCCAGTTTGCAGATATTCATTCTCTAACTAGATATAGATATATAGATATAGATACAGATATCATCCCTTCTAATTAATTCATTATTCGACAAATAATAATTGCTTGCAAGAAAATACAGATGTAAGAGAAAAAAATCAGGTAACATTCAAAAATACTAACTTAGGTTTAGTCAAATGTATGGAAATTAAAAATAAAATCAAGATGGTGAATGGTTTCAAACTATTCTTCCTTTACTTTCTTCTCTTAATTGTTCTTCATCCAAATCACATAATTTTACCCCTCTTCCTATTAGTAATCATGACTTGGAGGGAAAAAGATGTTTTCTAAATTCTGAAGTAATATTCTAGTTTTGAATCTCAGTATATTCTCCCAAACCAGTTCCTTAAGTTTTTCTTTTTCAAATAAATCTACTGATAATTTAAATCTCTGAGAAAATAGGGGAAAAAATAAAGAAGATGTGATTAGATACTAAAGAAAGAGAGAACTTAAGGTGTAACACAGCTCACAAAATTTTAGGTAACATTTTACACAACATACTGGATTCCTGCCAAAATAAATAGCAACAATAATGATCATAAACCTATAGTGCTTATTAGTAGTAGTATTTCATTGGCTATCAATGCTCACCATTGTGCAGAGTTCATTCAGCATTTCATTTAATTCCTCACAACCACCTAGGAGGTAGGTATCTTTATTATCTCAGTTCCATAAATCAGAAAAGTGGAGCTTAGAGAGGCCAAGAACTTGCTTAGGGTTAATCTGGCATGAAGGTAGAGGAGAAAGGACTGAAGCCCTGATTCCAAAGCCTCTTTACTTAACCTCTATGCAAGGTTGAGGGAATTGTCGGAGAAGTGGAGTTCTCAGGAAAACCTTGCCCAGAAAAACTGGGTTCAATATGCAAACAGATGAGGAGGCTATAATTGAATTTTCTAGCTGTTCCTAGAAATTGACCTTAGGTCAGGCTGCACAGGCATCACAGGTCATCCAGCCATTCCTGGAAATCTTTCTCTCTTTTCCATCCTCCGCCTACCAGATTCTCTATAGAAAGCAGACCCACAATGGCCACTAAGTGTGCACGAGGTGGGAACACTCAGATGATGAGATTAGAAAACAGAGAGGAGGCAGGCAAATTAGACAAGCTTTCAGTCATTCATTCAGCATTCAAGAAATAGGTATTAAGTGCTGACTCTGTTCCATTACACTCTCAAAGACTTTGGGGTTTCTCAACGAACAAAACAAAGATCCCTGCACTCATGAAGCTTACATTCCAGAGAAAGGCGACAGACAAAAAAACAGTCGATGGCAAATTAGGTAGTATATCAGAAGGTATTAATTGCCATAAAGAAAACGAGTCAGAGAAATGAGAGAATGGGGCTTGGGTCAGAGAGGACCTAGCAAAGCATCTTCCACTGTGGAAGACCCTTCAAATGCTGAGGGTCTCCTAAGTGGCAGAAAACTTTGCTCCATTTTAACCTCTTCCTCTGTGGCAACTGCTTCAGTCCTTACTGGCATCAAATTATCATCATCATCAACATATTATTATTAGTGACTAGCATTTATTAAGAAATGATGACTTGTAAACCACTATAGTGCAAACCATTTTGTAAATGTGATTTCATTTACTTAGCACTCACCTCATATTATATTTTCTGTTTATTTTGAATTGGTACTTTTGTAAAGGCTTGTTCTGCCCATGATAGGAGGTGAGAATAGGTCCCATCCTCACTCCCTCTGTATTCCTCATGGGGCTCTGCACAATGCTAGGCCTTCAATGCACAGACATCCAGAACATATTTGCTGATGACTGAGAAACAAATGCAGATTCACAGAAAAACAGCATGAGCACCAAAAATATGGATGGAAAAATCAAGTGGCAGGGGCCTGTGTGTACAACACCTGGAAAGCTGTGGGAAGGAGGGCAAGTAGAGCTCAGCAGGAAAACAAAAGCAGAAACGTCAATGAGTTCTTTACACTCCCACTTTCCTCCTGTTGCCATTTTCTCTTCTTTTCTTTCTTTCTCAGCCCCCCACCTCTTTAGACATTTCACTTGCCAAGGATGCTGCTCAAACTGTTCCCGAGCAGTCTGTGTTCTCTCATAATTGATAAATGGAGGTGTTTTCCAATAACCTTATAAATGACAGCATGCAAATGGTTACAGTTGGGATAGGGAAGGGTAAATATGCTAGGTTATAGAAGCCATAAGAACCTTCAAAATAAAGAATAACCCTTGCAAAATGACAAAGATAATTTCTTTTAGCATGATTGCCTGCCTAGGTATTAGCCATGAAATTATACCAGAAAACAAACAAACAAACAGAAAAGCAAACAAAAAAAGATCCTGCTCAAAACAGATTATCTTATTTTAAGGGAACAAAAAGGCACGATGTATTCCAAAACAGTTTGTGATCATTAAATTACATAACCTGTTATGTTTTATCCGTAAATGGCTTATGTTTCACTGTTTTTTATCCTGTTTGCTGCCTCATGTCCTCTCAGAAGTAGGTGGAATATTGTCTTAGATTAATTTTTTTGTTACATAAGAAAAAAATGCCAAAGCCAAAGAGGTCAGAATATAAAATTGCTTGGGTATTTATCATTCTGAGAAATAAATAATTTTAACTTTATAAAATAAATGACTTCTATATCATTGAATTATTATCTTTGATTCAACACTTAACGTTCATAAGAGGGGCTCCTTTAATTTTGTGGGAAGCTTTGCTGAGTGTTAAATATTTCCAAGATTGTTTACAGCCAAGAAGTGTGGGTTTTTGTATACAGCAGTCTATTGTTATGATTTAACCTAAAGAAAGCCAAATTAAAACTGATTTACTAAATAGGTTAAGGATAGCATACTCATTCACGATTTCAACCCTATTTCATGCTTAGACAGGCAGATCTTAATTATACACAAAAGAATACAAATGTTATTAGCATGATAATAATTATTTAGAAGATGTCCTCTTTAAAAAAAAAATCAAACCAGTATTGTCATTCGTGCAGCTACATTTTTCAACAGAATGACAGCTTTGCTAGTCATAGATATGTTCAAAGTACATATACAATATTCAAAGCTGTGCAGCAGACATGTTATCTGGATGAGCTCGGATACGCAGTGCCAGCGATGCACTGCACACTAATCATTATGTCCTACCCAGGGTACTACATGCAAATAAAATCCTTTGTGACATTTTGTCAACTATTTTGAGGATTGTATGCTCCTTATCACACCTCCATCCCTGTGTCCTCATCAACAATCAGGCACCCAGAAATCAGTTTCACGGATGGCATGGACTCCAGCTAGTCACAGGCATAACACCATGCCAAATTAATGAAAAGAAAATTAAAGATTTACATATAAGTAGCTAACAGGCAGGGCATACATAAGACAAACTGAAGTTTACATTTACCGCCTTGCTGAGCCGTATACAACAGAGGCAGCCCTGGGAAATTTCAGCAACTTTACCCTGTATTTGTGCAGCAAGAGATGTAAACATTACATATAGTATTCAGCATAATGACATAATGGATAAATCAATTTAAAGGTGCTACATTTGGAAAACCTACACCATAGGTCAATACCTATTGTCAACGAGCCCATATATGATCAGATGGAGAAAATGTAGAAATGTTTCAGGACTAAAGAGTTGGCTACAGTACAAGCAATGCATTTTTGAACATTGATTTGCCAGAAGTGTATCTGTTGTCTGTTGCTCCAGGCTGGCATTTTTAATTATTTCTGGGACAAATGGATCGGTGATACACAGAAAATCTGTAGGGCTTCTTGTCAAATTAATAAAATAATAATGAAAGTAGTCATCTCAGACTGCAAACTGTCAAAATCCTTGAGAGGTCTATAGTAATCTACATGGTTAAACAAACTAAAGTGCTCCTGCATGCTATTTTAAATCCTAAGTGCGGTGACATAAAATAGATTGTGTAGTGTCCATTGTATACAATGACACCTACTGTGACAAAACCCGACTATGTTTAATGACCTTTTTAAATCTTATACCTAGAGTCCATAAAAGCATTGTAATTCAGTTGTAAAACACACTTTAATAATCAAAATGCAGCTGTTAAAATAGCATTGCTCATAATTCTAACTTGAGGCAATTTTTTTGTTTTTAATGCAGAAGAGCAGACCACAGTTTAAAATTCCTATGAGGTCACTATTGGCCATTACAGTGTTTTTTTGCAACTTAATAATAGATGTTTTAAAGTTTAAGTGCAGCCTCAGGCACTCATAAGCATTTATTACAAATCGCTGGTTGCCTCCCTTATGCAGAGAGGAATAACATTTACATACAGTAGCACGGATTAATAAGATAAAAAATTTGAAAAAGCCGTCAGTCAGGGAGCGAAACTGGTGCTAATAAAGCCCACTATATTCTTCGGAAATATCAAGCCGTCTGTTCCAATATTTTGCCATTCCCCATGAGGTATACAAATCCAAATCAGATAAGTCTCAAGCAATGCCAAAGACATGCTGCTCTGCTCTCCAGTGGCACCCGGCTGAATCTTTTATTTATCTTCAGAGCAATTGTACATTCTAGTATACTAAAGACTGAAATAAACTGAACATCACTCATCAGAAAGTTTCATAAAACGGGGCCCTCCTTCCTTGTTTGCTAAACCATGATTAGTGAGAAAAATGCACTGCAAAGTATGTATCATGGTAAGGAAATATAATAGTAGGCATGGGACCTCTGTAAGCAAGGGCTAGTTAAATAGAACCACATCTTGCTGGAATTTAAAATGATGCTCACGTGAAATCAGACCTAAAGGAGAGAAAATTGCTTTAGGAAAAGGAGTCCACGAGCCTTTCCTGTCCTCCGTTGTGGAGTGGCGCAAACTCAAAGGTGCAAGGGAAAGCAAAAGCAAAATAGCACACATAATTTCACACGATGATTAAACTGCAAAGATCCTTGTTATAACAAATCACTGTGTCACTCTCCCAAACTGCAGCATAACAAAACTGCACATAAAATCATTTCTGCCCCTCGGAACATTGCTAATTAAAAAGTACAGCCGTTAGTGTTCTGATTGGGGATGAGGCTGCCCGTTATTTCTAGCCCAAGTGAACATTGATAAAAGAAATTTATTTATTTATACATAATTATTATTGTTACCCTACTGAACAGTGCTGGGGATTTAGAGAAATGAGACGCCACGGTTCTAATTTTTCTTCAAGAAGTCTGCCATATTAACTCCATTGAATAATTACTGAAAAGTAATACACTCGTGTAATATTACCTTATGCAAAATTGCATTAATCAAAAAGTGAGCCCGCTGCAATCAAGTAATTTGAGGGTGGGGGAAGGCATACATGCATAGCACATTTTCCTCAGGACTGATTTTCCTTACAACAGAGTATTACCTAATAGTTTTGTAGCAATGATCCCAGGAAAAAAGGGAAGCAAATCAGAGGTTGAAAAAATATATACAGCCTTACTCTTACATAGAGAGGGCCACATAAATGGCAAAGGAATGACCAGCTACTGTCTTGACAACCTCCTCCACTCCTCCGACTCTGTACACAATAAAATAAATCCTGCTTGACCTCTCCAAGGAGCCAGACCATTGTTCCCCACATGAAGAAGTAAACGTAGCCACTTAATTACGCCCAAGCAGCTTTATAGAACAGGGGGCTTATGACACAAAATGAACAGTTTCCTGTTGGGGTAGGCTTTCTTTGGAAATTAAGGAAAAGGAAAAAAAAAAAAAGCCGGTATACACGGGGAAGATTATTCCAGGTGTGCATGAAACGTGGCAAATTAGTAAGGGTTCTTGTGCTTACATAATGTCTCATAAATACCAGAGTCCTAACAGCACTAAGGCAAGTGCAATCATTTTTATAGCCTTTTGTCTTGTAAGTTTGGCTGAGAGGCATGGAAAGGTACCTCTCCGATTGGAATCTAGACCACTGTGATCACAGGGAACAAAACAGATTCCTTAGAGCTCTGCATTTCATATCTTGATTTTTAAAAGGCTGGGTGGCATGGTAGCAGGCTGGCAGGCTGGGGTGCTGGTTATTTTGTTGTTGTTTGAGTTGTTATTTTTGTTGGATTCATCTTAGTGGCCTTGTCTGCAAAGTGTGCTTTCTTCCACCAGCCTCTCCCAGGCTAACTGTGAATAGTGCCCATTTTGAGATTAGGAGATTAGGTTATTCATCACTTGAGATGCTCCCCGCTGTGCTGCTACTATCCGAGCGCAGCCAAATCAAAACATCTCTGGAAGGCATTTCAGAATAATTGAATGCATCATAATTTCCCTATTAATACATATCTCATATTACAGATTATGCATGAAATGTTCACATTATCTGTTACTTTTTGTTAACGTCTTGCTCCTTGCCAGTAAATTTAATACACAGAGTGAATCAGCATGCTATGATGAAGGGATAGGTTACTGATAGTCATTTTTTTCAGGATTCAGTAGAAAATTAAAGTAAATCGATCATTTTATAGCCCCACTGGAATGGCTACAAGGGCATGTTGCTAAGCAAATGGTAATTTAAATGTACTGTGTAATTTTTCTACGCAATTTACTGAAGGCAGATTTTATTTCTCAGTTAATATCAGATGCTCTTTATCTCTTAGTGCATGATGTATCAGTGATAGACAAATTATTAATCCATGTTTCAATCAAATACTGTGGTTTGACAACTGCTCATGTAGGCACTATAGGAGTTACATCCCTGAAAGAATATGACTATCATTAATACCTGAAAAAAAAGACAACTGACTAATTCAATATTCTCTTGTATAAAAAGCATGCTTATGCTACATTCTCATCAAAAAGTAATCAAAGTAAATCCTAATGAAATTTAATAAAAATATCCCTATCTCATAACAAAAAGTTATATTCAGTGTTTTCAGATCAGTTATAGATTTGCATTTTATGACAGTTATCTGGCTATAAAAGACATCCTTTTTTAATACTTTAAGATTTTGGTAATACTTTAAATGTAATATGGGAGCATATAATTAAGTACTGAAACTATAATAAACATTTTAAGATAATTACATGTTATCCATGGTGAAAACTTGTCCTCTCAGGCATAATCAAATAGTAAATAATTATTTTTGGCTTTCTTTAAAAAAACACACATAGGATACCAGGGTAGTTTTAATTTTATAATAAATCAAAGGTTCTGTATTTTAAGGCAAGTAAGATACATAAAAGAATCTCTGCTTGATGATACCCACCATTTTTATGAAATTAGAAAAGAAAAAGAAGGAGGGCTCCATTTACCCTTCAGGTTGCTAAAGTAGAGGCAAGATCCTCCTACTGCTGGTGTACAAAATGTATTATTGTCATTAATGAAAAAGTTAATGGGCCATTTTCTTATATATCAATTTACATTTTACAATTTGAGTACACAAATGATATGTACAGCAGAGAGCTGATTATTTTTGCTCAAGGAAATAGTTTTAATGTGTTTTTATGGACATCAAGTGTTGTGAATAATGATGCTTCCACAGAATGCAAATAGGATGACAGCTCTTGGGTTGTGATCAACAGTCCTTGGATAAAAGGTCTGCTGGGACAGTAATGTTCTGTGGAGGACCTGAACAGTAAAAAATGGGAAACAAGGAGGACATCGGAATATTTGAAAGGTAGATCAGCAGATGGGACTTGGAGTATGTCACTCATACACAGGCATCAGATAATATTCCCAGTTTTAAGAGAAAAATATATTTAATAGAGAATGTGTCTGTGTAACAGAGAACTGCAGACTGAAAGATATTGCTGATTCTGGTTGATAAAATCTATTTCTGAAATTAGATATAGCTCACCATATAAGAGATGAATTTTAATAACACATTTATACCACAGTCCCCAATCACCTTTGCTTTCCTAACTTCTATGTGTGAAGATCACTTTTTCTCACCACTTTAAGGCAGTCACTGTTGCAGTCAAATAGGAATGTCCCCAGGAATACTACAAAGCAGAGTTCTTTTGAAGAAATGTGAATAATAATTTCTTGAAACAACACATAAATTGTCCCTTTACCACGGAGCATAGAACAATGTGAGATCTGCTGTGAGACCACAATTACAGTCTCCAAAGAGCAGTCATTCCCTTTGTTTGGTCACTGGAATTTGTTGGCAGGTGCCATCTCCACATTATAGTCCTGCAGTCCATCCCAGCACACCTGTACCTGCAAGGATATCTGAGCATTTTGGTTCTAGCTGAAGCGACACCCACCCACACCACTTTATGCTGCCAGATTCTATCACCATCCCAGAACTGACCCCACCAATTTCTACCTGGGACTGGAGGGTTAGAACACATGCCTGTAGACACATACACACACACACACACACACACACACACACACACACACACACACACACACTTAGGCTAAGTAGACAGAAAGCAAAGACATCTGGATAAAAGTGAAAAGTTCAGTCAATCATTAATTTCCCCTTTTCATCTACATATTAGGGAAAGGGGGGCTCAGTATTCTCCCATCAATAAGAACTCTCATTTTAAAAACAACAACAACAACAACAAACTTTTAAACAAGAAAAAAATAGAAGTCAAGTTGAGTTATCTACATTAAAAAAAACTCCAGGTGATAACATTTTAGGTATCTAAATAAGCGTTAATTTGAAAGAAATGCTTATAACTCCATATAATTTTTTTTAAGTTTCACAAAGATTTCTAGACCTGTTTTTTTAAAAATCTACTTGAGAGAGAGAGAGAGAGACTACAAATAGAAGCATGACCTGAAAATAGCACCCACAATAAACTGCATTAGGAAAAATTTAATTAATGGGGTAAACATCCTATGCCAGTTGCATGTTTTTAATACGTGGGGATGTCCCAAACCAGCAACAATGCTACAAGACTGGAAAAGCATATTGTCTTTTCAGTATATAATAAGAGGCAGCCGAATGTAAAGAAATACCTATCCATATGTGAATATAAATAAGAAACCTAATGTAGATGAACAAATTGCTCTTCAGGATGAAGCACAGTGATGGAAGCATTGCTCTGAGAATCCAGGATTATCGAATCTTTATTATTCTTTTTTTTTTAAAAATGCAAGAATGAACAAATTGGCAAGGCTTTTGTTCCAAGATTACTTTCTTATGTATTTCTTTCACCACTTCCTGCTCCACCACCCAAAAGCTCACCTTTAAGTATCGCCTTTTAGCCAGTGATAAGCAAAGTTTCCTGGGCTGCTTTCACAACAACTGCCTGGAAAAGTGCACAATGGAAACAACCACAGCCACCATGAAAATGAATCTCACCTTTGAAACTTCCTTCCCCCAAACAAGTACAGTTATAAGTCACAGGAAATGGGGAACCCATATGCCTGTATTGAAATTTAGATAACTGTAATTATTTGAAATTTGAAATACTGAGCACAAAAATAATTAAATTTGGAAAGGCTCCTAGAACATCATCTAAGCTCCGAACATTACTTCAAAGAGAGCGTCCTTCCCACCCACCTCTATCCAAAACAAAGTTACTTCTTTAACTTCTTTCTCTGGTCTGGAAATCAACATGCCTACATCCTCTTATATTTGAATTTATTTTCTCTGCCAAAACTCAGCATCAGTGCCTTTAGGCGCACATAGGAAATGAAGTGGGTTGAATCTGCTATCTTTAGCTATCCTTCTATGCATGACTAAAAGCTGAACAGAGTTAACTGACCTCATATGTATATGAACTAATTGTATGACAAACCTGTTTTCTCCTTTATATATTAAAAAAAATTGTGTGTGTGTGAGCTTTCTAATCTTGAAATATATACATAAGGATTTTTAAAAATATACTTCATTGCAACAGGTCATTCCATTAATGGAAGCTTATTATATATTATTTCTAGAACAGTTGAGTATAGTTTAGAATTTGTCAAGTTTATTTTCTCTACCTCATTATCGAAGAAATAAAAAATATCAATGAATCCTGAGCCTATTCTGTCAAAATTGGATGGATACTATATGTAATTTAAATTGCAATAAAATTTATGTTTATCTTTCCAGTCTAGATCTAAAAATCTTGGTCTGATTTCCTCTGTAAAGAAAGTAGAAATGGTCAACTCTAATGGAATCAGATATGACTTGAAAGAAACCCAACATTCAAAAAATTTTTTAACTCAGCCAGAAAATGTCAAGATAATTAGTCCCAATCACATAAAGGAGTCATCATTTTACAAAAGTATCCAATGCTCTTTTTTAGCATAAATAATGTTCTAAAATTAACACAACCAAATTTGTTTAAAGTCACCTATAATCTAAATCCCTACAAAATAGCCTATGTAATCCAAAATGCCTCCCAGTTGCTACATATAAACATACTCACATTTTACATCTTGTATGTAAAATTTTGAGTAAAATTTTATATACATAGTATGTACATTATACTTTTCCACTTAAAACTATAGATCAGACATTCTTCTTGCTCATCATAATTGAATGGCCTTTTAAAAGTCTAGCTTTTTTTAAGTCTAGCTTTTAAATAAATGAATAAGTTTTCAATCGGAAGCAGTATCATCATTTTGTTTTTAAACAGGAAGCTTTCATCCTCTGATACCAAATAAAGAATTCAAGGCCAGAAGGACCATTTTTGAAAGCTTAATATTCTTGGTATTTATGTTAGTACCTGTGATTGATCATGCTTCCCACTTAACAATGATCTGAGGGTCCTAGCTGGGAAGCCAAAACTTATTTTGTTCATACCCTCGAACCGTAAGACAACTTAACCAATCAAGATCACTGGAAAGTATAGAGGTTGCTGTTATAAGCCTGTCCATATCCGAGGCACAGAGCTTCTCTCCACGAAAGGCTTCTCCAACAAAAGAATTATTTGCAAATTCCAAACTCTACTCTTTGGAGCTATTCTCCAGAATGCTGAAGCAGTACAACAGCCAGGACCATTTGTGGGCAGGTTTTGTAGCCAAATGAAAAATACATAGAAAACATCTCACAAAAATGGATCAAATCAATAAAGCAAATAAACACTTCTCTTCAGCACTCAGCAGGTACAGACTTATTTTCCCACCCTTCTAAAGTAAATCAGCAATCTATCTTGAAAAATAAAAAGAATATTTCACCACAAATTGACTGCATTTAATAAAATACAAGCTCTCCTGCCCAGACAGAGAAAATTTGAAATCAATAGTCAAATTCCCCATCTTCTCTAAGTGAGAGAAACTAACATATAACTTCACTGTTGCTCCATGAAATTATCCCATGGTTCTTCATGTTGCAGCAAGAACCCTGCCAATTCTTCACTTTTCAGGTAAAGAGGAAAGACAATGCACAGTAAATAAATAAACAAATGACTGTCTCCTTTGGCAAACAGTTAAAAAAGAAAATAATAGTTTCCCTGTTAGGAATAGATTCAGGACACCAATACTTGAAATGTATTGTTAGAAAGTGTACTATCAATTTTTTTTTAATTAACAGATTCCTCTCAAATGGATTTTTGTAACAATTTCTCTAAAAGTAACATGATGCAGGGCTGAATTAGCTAAAGAAAAAAAAATATTTTAAAGAAAGAACCTTAATATGGTGCTTCAACCACCATGGTGGAATACTTTCAAACTGGCACCAAGATGGACACTTGGGCAGACACAAACTGTGGGCGATGTTTTATGATTCCAACCACCATGGTGATGCCTCTGCCAAGCAAGCTTGGGAAGAATGCTCCTGAAGGGCCACAGTTCTGTGGCCTCTGTTGCTGGAAATTTGCATGTGTAGAAAGGTCCCAGGGCAAAATTTGTGGCACTTCGGTGCCCCCTTGTGACCAATTTGGCACCAGCATGAACTACACCAGCCCTTGTAGAAAGTGAGAGCAGGAATTTCTTAAATCCCACAAGAATGCAGGGTGGGGCGGAGAATTATAATGTTCTATCTCTGTGTATGTGAGAAAGTCTGATGCCGGTGCAATGAGAGATTTCTACACCACTGCTTTCTCACAACAATTCGATGCCCTCCACCTGAACCCCATGGCTGGATTTCATCTGAAGATAAACCAGAATGAACAGTCTTGCAGCCCTGGCTCTCAGACCCCCATCAACAAGGGGAATCATTTTAGATTGAAAAATGTTATGTTCTTATTATCTAAATTTAAGAAAATTGGAGATAGCATTTAAAGTCTTTTTGATAGAGTCTTTTGCTTGGCCTCAAATCTCTCTCAAATTTTGAGCCCTGCCAGATTATTTTATACATTTTTATGACACTATTTCATTTCCCCCATCATTATTTTTTTCTACATGCAAAATGACTTTTTTGGAAAATTGTGTCACCAATGGATGCAAGAATGTAACTACATTTATCAGCTCCATTCCCTTTCACCTACACAACACCTCAAAGCATTAAAAACCAATTCTACATGTAATAAAGCTTGTAAATATTTCAGATTCAATGTTGGGTTGAGGACGAAGGACAGTTTCCCCCACAAATACAAATTTGCTTCTGATGTTTATCTCTGCAGATGGTTTGACTGCAGATCCAGAATTGGATTGCCGTTCTGTCTGCAAAAATTACCTGGGAACCATCTACTCCTTCTCAACACATTTATTCACACAGCTCCAAAGACATTCCAGTGTGGGGGTTACATGCTTTCTTTGAAGGAAAGGACTGCTGGAGGTTTCAAACTTCACATTGTATCCAAGGGCTGAAGGATGAGGGAGCCAGTGATAAACCAGAGAAATGAAAGGCAGAGAAAGTAAAGCAGTGTGAGGGAAAGCACATGAATGAAAAAGAATGAGAAGAAAGTGCTTGATCTTGCATTTCTAACAAGTTCTCAGATAATGTTGATACTGCTGGCTTAATCAGTCCCCATATCCTGGGGAAAATGTCCTTTGTATCTCAAGTGGGAATAGAGTACAATTGTGACTCCTTTCTTGCTCTTGTTTTGAAAATCATTAGAAATATCTTTGGGAATCACAACACTGCACTCATGGTTTTCTTTACGCTTTTGGTAGCACAGTGGGTCTCATGGATGATGGATGTTCTGCTGTTCATCTTCAAAGACAGGTAAAGCCCTGGTTGTACTATCACCACTGCTGCTCAGTGAAACTCTCTTGTGAAGTCTCTGTGCATTTTCAGTAGGATGAAGGGGGAAACCCCTGAGTGGCTCTTCAGGATCATAAACTACTGTTGAATACTACTTTCATTGAATATTTTCATTAAAAAAAAAAGGGCTATGAATTAAGGAAAGAGAAATGATTTTTGCTTCTGCTAGTTGAATCTCAGCCTCCACCATACTTTGCAACAAACAAATTGTTTAATTTCCGTCTTAACCCTCTGTCAATATTGCCTTTATTTGGCAAGCCTTTGGTGAGAATGACTTGTACTTCCATGCCCCATGCTCCCTGATGCTAATGGTATTTACTTAAAAAAAAATCCACTTTATGAAGGGTCATGAGTCTCTAGGGGAATGATAACTGCCACAGATAGGGATTGAATCTGTTACCTTGACCTCTCTCACAGTACTTTTTAACCTAGGGCTTTGTCTTGACAAAGTGCTGTGCCTGGAATACTCACAAAGTAAGGTTACAAGTAATGTGTTGCTGCTACTAGTAAAGTACGAAAGTTTGTGAGAGATTTATATTCACATCCATACACTACATCCAGACATGAGAAGAACTTCAATGTCATCTATGGAGTAAAAACACTGCAAATTGTTTTCCTAGTTTTTGCTCTGGGAGATGTGAGAGAGAGGTCTAGAGTTCCAGTTGGTTCCCTTGCTCACCCAGGGCCTAGGACTCAATGCTTGACCCCTTGCTCTAGCAGATACTCTCAGGGACAGCCACCATGCATAATATTTGCCAGAAGAGTTAAACCACCTCTTCCTATTGAACGTGTCTTCAGCACAGAGTTGACTTGGGAACGAGACAGTGAGTCCCAGTGACCTAGAGCCCAGAAGGAAAAGATAAGAAATGTTCTCAGTATCGAGGCTTCTCTATTCTAAGTTGGAGAAACTGACAAAGGTATCATCCACAGTTTGCTTAGAAATATCTTCTACCAGACAGTCTCATAACCTGGTCCTTTACTTCACTCAGGTGTGCTCAAAAGCTTCCTCTTTAGAAAGCCCTTTTCTGATCACCCTGTCCAAAAGAGCAATCCTAACTCAGACATTCTTGATCCTATATACTGCTATATTGTTCTCTGTGGCACTTATTTCTATTGACATTACACTTGATTATTGGCTATCCTTGTCCACAGTTGTATCTCTAATGCACAGAAGAGTGCCTGCACAGTAAGTGCTCAGTAAATATTTATGAAAGGGCCAACTCAATGAACTTTGGGTACATCCAAGTAAGTACAGATGCTTCTTGACTTACAATGGTGTTATGTCCCAATAAACCCATCATAAGTTGAAAATGAATTTAACACACTGATATGGTTTGGATGTTTGTCCTCTTCCAATCTCACATTGAAATGTGACTTCCAGTGTTGGAGGTGGGGCCTGGTAGGAGGTATTGGGTCATCAGGGTGAATCTCTCATAAATGGCTTAGTGCCATCCCTTGGTGATGACTGAATTCTCACTCAGTCAGTTTACACAAGTTCTAGTTGTTTAAAAGAGTGTAACACTTCTTCCCTTTCTCTTTTGCTCCTGCTCTTGCCATGTGATGGTCTGGCTTCTACTTCACCTTCTGTCATGACTGTAAGCTTCCTGAGGCCATCATCAGAAGCAGATGCCAGCACCACACTTCTTGCACAGCCTGCAGAACTGTGAGCCAATTAAACCTTTTGTCTTTATAAATTACCCAGCTTCAGGTTTTTATGACAATGAACTAATGAACTAATACAATATGTAACCTACCAAACATCAATAGCCATGCTCGGAACATGTACATTAGCCTCCAGTTGGGCAAAATCATCTAAGACAAAGCATATTTTTATAATAAATCATTGAATATCTCATGTAATTTATTGAATACTGTACCAAAAGTAAAAAACAGAATCATCGTACGAGTATTCATCATTAATGTATACAGCTGAAGGCACAGTAGGCCTGAAGAATGTTGAAGCACTGAACTAAAATTAATTGCTGGATGATGAGGATGCTACAGATAGTCATGAGTTTATCTTAGTTTAGGAAAAGATCAAAATTCAAAGTACAGTTTCTACTGGATGTGTACCACTTTTACACCACTGTAAAGTTAAAAAAAATAGTAGGTTGAACCATTGTAAGTTGGGGACCATATGTATTTCCCATATGTAAACATTTCCTTAAAAAAAAAAAAAAAACTGAAGAACCTCTGCTCCCATCAACTATCTTCTGCTTCTCCAATTTGGGAATGACATGCCTGAGAGTACCCACATCAGAAAATACTCACAGTCCCCAGGTTAACACAGCACATGGCTCTCAAACTTTATTATACAACACAGTCACCTAGAGAGCTTGTTAAGAACCAGTGGAGCTTGATAGCTAAGCTCTACCCTTAGAGTTTCTGATTCTGTAAGTGGATGTCTGAGAATCTGCATTTCCAGCAAGTTCCCAGATGATGTTGATACTGCTGGTTTAAGGATCACACTAAACATCACTTTTTCTCTAAAATGCTGCAGTCATGGCAGCAGGTGATGGTTGTTAAATACTTTAAGAAATTAAAACACAGACATATTATGGAGTACAATGTACATTTCTCTGCATTTTTAAAAAGAAATGGTTTTCTTGCTGAGGGTTGATTTGGCATGAACGAAGTAAGAGTTTAACTCTTCCACGTGACTAAGGGCACTGGAGTACAGCTGGTTGAAGAGAACTGATCTAAGCCATGTTAGACTCAAGACAAAAGTTTCATGAATGCCCCAAGTTCTTCAATGCAGTGAGTCTCTCAAGAGGTGATGCAGAAGGAAATATCGAGGCCTGGTCTGTGGGTAGGTAGGGTGGGGAGCCCCTCCATTAGGCTAACGACAATTTCAGAGTGACCACAGGAAGCAAAGTTTAGCCTGGCAGTTAGTGGCGGGCAGCCAGGGGGCTCAGGGTTGCCAGAGCTCACCACACAGAGCGAGGCTGTAATGTCATGCTATCAGTTATCTGGGTCAGCCATCTGCGAGGCCTGTTGCTTTTCAATGGTGCTCTCGAGCCTTCAGTTTCATCTTTCTCTTTCACCCAGAAAAGAAAAGAATTGAAGGTAATTTAATGCCTTATAAAAAGGCACATCCTGTAATGTTTGCATCTTCCTTGTCCACATCATATTGCATGACTATTCTGTGGGATCCTTACCAAAAGTGACACGGGGCGAACTACCACTAGAATCCAAAGCAGAGAGTCATCTTCTGGTTGCAGACTGTCAAGGAAATGAAATCCAACCTTTAACCATCATCGTTCTCACTGAATGCATTGACCAAGTGTACTGTGCGTGATGGGCACACAGACTGGAAAAAAGCAGCAGTTTAGAAAAAGAAAAAGACAATTTCAGTGCTTTTGGTGTATGTTGCTTCCTTATCAAATGAATAAAGCTAATTCACTATTTACACATGAAACAAAATCTTGGTTCTGTGTATTCATATAAATATTTCAAAGGCCAGAGATCTTTTTCTTTACCATTTAGGTCTTCTTAAGAGTCAATCCAGCAAATAATGCTCTAGGGCAATTTGATACTTAAAATGATGAGACCTTTCCCTGGTGAGTCTCCCTGGGCTAGTTTTTCACAGCTGTGGTAACCTACACTCCACTTCCATTTCCCTAACAGACTTTCTGATCTCTTTCCCAAAATAAAAGCCACACATGTCACTCATGAAGAAAGACACCCACCTGTCCCTATCTTACACACTAAAAGTGCTTCTCAGTAAGATTTATTTGTGGTTTGTTTAGATTTGAACCTGTTGCCACACACATGCTATTTTCTAACCAAAATCCCTGTAGTAGAAGCCCTACCTCCCATTCTGAAACTTTATTTATTTCTGTTATTCCAGATGTATGTGCCAATCAGTTTAGCTCCTGCCAATTCTTGTTTATTAATAATGCTAACGAAAGAATTAAAATTCTACCAGATTTCAATCTCTTTTTTCATGCCTTAATAATGAGTCCTAAAAAGGATGAATTCTGATATTGTCTCAACAACTCAAAGGACTAGGTACAATCAGAAATTTGACTGGCTTTTTCCTACCTTGCACAAACTCAGGAGGGATATTCGTACTGCTAACTGCCACTGTATATGTGCAGATAATTTGCATTTTCATTGTTCTTTATTTTATGTTATTAGTTATTCATGAGATGAATATCACATTCAACAACTAATCTATAAAGCCTTTGCTTTTTAAATAACAATGTGCTGTTTTTGTTGTAGAGGGTAGAATGGAGAATGGACGTCCCATTTAGAGATCTTATACAAAGAACTGAAAAATGAATGACACATAAGCTCTTCCTTGCCATATGTAAAATCGGGATCTCAAAGAGAGTGACATTAGAGTTGGAAAATACAGACTGTACTACATAGGTTTATACATATAAGAGCCATATTAGCCAGCTGGACCTACTGAGAAAGGTCTCTCACCAGCAAGCCAAAGAGAAGAGAAGGTCAAGTTTAACCGTACTATGTAATGAACCTGTAAATGACTAATTATTTCTCACCAAACAGCACAATCTGCATGTGAGGCAAAAACCAACATAGAAAGCATCTGAACTCGTTTTTATTTTCAGTTGGATATAGTCCAAGTTTCATACACATTGGTTTCACTTTTCCCAATAAAGGCTTATGTCTATATTAACACAAATTGAAAAGAAAAAAATGAAAAGATTCCACTCTTTTTCTTAGTTTCAGGGAAGAGTACATTAAAAAAAATTCAAATGTGCATGTGAGGACCCAGCTGTGTTGTGAGGAGGAGGAGGCAGGTGGGTATTCTGGAAATGTGTGCATATATTGTAGCTGCACACTTAGCGATCTCAACATAAATGTCAGCTAAACATCACCCCTAGATAAGTTAGTCTTAAAGGGAGAGCAATGATTTCATTTACCAAGAGGGGAGCAAGCATAGGGCCTTTGCTATACTCAAAGGATTTTCCTGGAATCCCACTGTGGTTATCTAGGGAGGGGCTGCTTCACCTTAGAGGCAGTGAATTGCTAGGTCTTGACTTGCTTAGGAAGGAGGTAACTATCTCTCCCAGGAAATATAAAAAATCCATAAAAAGAGTTCCATATTTCTTTCAATAATACAACTTTGGAACTCAGAAATTCTGATAGAAAACACTGATGGCAGTAGTAATACAACCTAATATAATGAATAAAATAGAGAAAAATAGCGATCTAAGATTTAAGATAGTTGAAGAATAGAAATACATCTTTTTCATCCTTGTATCTCCCCCAGTACCTGAAATTTGGTAAGTGTCTAAGAATAACAATAACAGCAATGATAGCTAACATTTATGGAACTTCATTTTTGCCAGGCATGGTTCTAACCACTTCAAGAGTTTCAATTGCTGTTATCCTCAATAAAAGCCTGCCAGTGAAATACTGTCATTATTCCCATTTTACAGATGAGGAAATAGAAATACAGAGAATTTATGAAACTTTACCAAGGCCATACAGCTAATAAATGGCAGAAGGGGATTCACGTTCAGGGGATCTGGCTCCAAAGCTTACCCTTATAACTTCTCTGCTAAATTGCATCTTTTATACAGCATAAAAATTGCTGAACAGAATTGCTGAATTTTACTGAGGAGCTGAATTCTATTGTGCCATATTAAAAGTGTAAACTCATTGTGAAACTGAAAACTTAAATCAAAACTCTAGAAACACCAAAAAATTATACAGAGGCACTCTGGAGTTTACGGTGATTATAAACATATAATCACCATCTATATATAAAATTCTATGTTGGCTATATTATAACAACACTTAGTTTTAAATGACCGATATTGCCTGAGAAAATTTAATTCTTCAAAACTTTAGAATTTCTTTGGCAAATAAATCATTTGGCAATATTTCTAGACATTTCTCAAGTAGAAATACACAACCAGTTAAATAAAATACTTGTGAAAATGTGGTGATGATTTTTTTGGTTGCCCCTTTGCCCTTTCTTTCAGGGTCCACCTCTGCTGTCCTCCCCATACGCAGCCGTCCCATTCTGGACTGCATTTTATGGACAGCACCCTTTTTCCTCAATTTCTCCCCTCAAGGAAACTTGCATATTGTAGCTCCTATTTCCTAAATACTCTGAACTTTATTGAGATAGGGTCTCACTCTGTCACCCAGGCTGGAGAGCAGTGATGCAATCTTGGCTTACTGCAACCTCTGCTTCCTGAGTTCAAGTGATTCTCCTGCCTCAGCTTCCCAAGTAGCTGGCACCACAGGTATGCACCACCACACCCTGCTAAGTATAAATGGGGTTTTGCCATGTCGCCCAGGCTGGTCTAGAACTCCTGACCTCAGGTGATCCACCCGCCTCGGCCTCCCAAAGTGCTGGGATTATAGGTGTGAGGTACCACACCCAACCTCTGAACTTTCATAGATGATGTTTTAGCTCTAGACCTTGTTCAAATGAGATTCTATTAGACACCCCAAACCTCAAATGTACAAATAGAAGAATAGAGGACCTAGAGCTTCTTTTCTGGGTGCTTGCCCCAACTTTACACCAAAGTGTCGAAGGCACTGAACAAATCATAAGCCATGGCTTAGACCCAAACCAATGCCCAGTTTGCTTTTGGAGATTTGACCATGGCATGTGCAGGACTACATGAAGCATCTGTTAAGGAAGAGCCTACACACATAGCACACCTTGCTGGACTCCAAACCATAATGCTCCATCCTGTCTCAGCCCTGTTCTCCTGGGCTCCCAGTTATGCCCTTTGTTTTTATATACTGTTTACCCTCCCAAGTCACCAAAAGAGGAGAATAAGCCACTCTTTTCAAAAGGTGGGTATCTTGCTTCTCTTTTCCTTCATTTCTCTGAGCTTCCTTTCTAATATGCCTGCTGCTCCTTAAGTTGCTGGAGCTCATACTTGTGCAAACTACCCAAAATTTGGCTGTCATGCTTCCTCTTTGAAGGCTGTGCTCCTGCTAAACAATAATGACAACAAAGCTTTGAATCCCATATAAGTTCCACTTCATGAACAGCCATAGACATTCCAAGCCTGGCCTCACAACAAGCCTACTTCTCCCTGATGCCCTGTTGAGCTCAAAGGCCCACCAGAGGGCTTGCATGCAAGGAGGAAAGCAGAGAGGCCCTGCCCAGAAGCAATATAAGAAGAAAATTAACTAGAAGGGTGTATTAGTCCATTTTCCTACTACTATGAAGAAATACCTGAGACTGGGTAATTTATAAAGAAAAAGAGCTTTAATGGACCACATGGCTTGGGAGGCCTCACAACCATGGTGGAAAGCAAAAGAGAAGCAAAGACATATCTTACATGGCAGCAGGCAAGAGAGCAAGTGCAGGGGAACTGCCCTTTATAAAACCATCAGATCTCATGAGATTTATTCACTATCATAAGAACAGCACAAGAAAGACCCACACCCATGATTCAATTACCTCCCTCCAGGTCCCTCCCATGACACAAGATTATGGGAGCTACAATTCAAGATGAGATTTGCGTGAGGACACAGGCAAATTATATCATTCTGCCCCCAGCCCCTCCCAAATCTTATGTCCTCACATTTCAAAACCACTCATGCCTTTCTAACACTCTCCCAAAGTCTTAACTCATTTTAGCGTTAACTCAAAAGTCCACAGTCCAAAATCTCATCTAATACAAGGCAAGTCCCTTCCACCTATGAGCCTGTAAAATCAAAAGGAAGTTATTTATTTCCCAGATACAATGGGGCACAGGCATTGGGCAAATGATCCTGTTCCAAATGGGAGAAATTGGCCAAAATGAAGGAGGTACAGGCCCCACGCAAGTCTGAAATCTAGCAGAGTAGTCAAATCTTAAAGCTCCAAAAATGATCTCCTTGGACTTCATATCTCACGTTCAAGTCACACTGATGCAAGAGGTAGGTTCCCATAGTCTTGGGCAGCTCCACCCCTGTAGCTTTGCAGGGTACAGCTCCCCTTCTGTTTGCTCTCACAGGCTGGCATTGAGGGTCTGTGGCTTCTCCAGGTGCAAGCTATCAGTGGATCTACCATTCTGGGGTCTGGAGGATGGTAACCCTCTCTTCATAGCTTCACTAGCCAGTGCCCCAGTGGGGACTCTGTGTGGGAGCTCCCACCCCACATTTCTCTTCTGCAGTGCCCTAGCATAGGTTCTCCATGAGGGCTCCACCCTGCCAGCACATCTCTGCCTAGATATCCAGACATTTCCATACATCCTCTGAAATCTAGGCAGAAGTTTCAAAACCTCAATTCTTGACTTCTGTGGACCCACAGGCCCAACACCACATGTAAGCCACCAAGGCTTGGGCCTTGCACCCTCTGAAGCAACAGCCTGAGCTGTACAATGGCCCCTTTTAGCCAGGGCTAGAATGCAGGGCACTAAGTCCTGAGACTGCACACAGCAGGGGGGTCTATGGCCTCACCCATGAGACCATTTTTTCCTCCTAGGCCTCCTGGCTTTTGATAGGAGGGGCTGCTGTGAAGATGTCTGACGTGCCCTTGAGACATTTTCCATTGTCTTAGCAATTAACATTTGGCTCCTTGTTACTTATGCAAATTTCTGCAGCCAGCTTGAATTTCTCCTCAGAAAATGGGTTTTTCTTTTCTATCGCATCCTCAGGCTGCAGATTTCTGAACTTTTATGCTCTGCTTCCCTGTTATGCATGAGTTCCAATTCCAAACCTTATTTTTGTGAAAAAATAAAATGAAATGCCTTTAAGAGCACCCAAGTCACCTTTTCAATGCTTTGCTGCTTAGAAATTTCTTCTGCCAGATACCCTAAATCATGTCTCTCAATTCCAAAGTTCCACAGTTCTCTAGGCTAGGGGCAAAATGTCACCAGTCTCTTTGCTAAAGTATAGCAAGAATCACCTTTGCTCCAGTTCCCAATAAGTTCCTTATCTCCATCTGAGCCCACCTCAGCCTGGACTTTTTGTCAAAACCATTCAACAAGTCACTAGGAAGCTCCAAACCTTCCCACATCTTCCTATCTTCTTCTGAGACCTCAAAACTGTTCCACCCTCTGCCTTTTACCCAGTTCCAAAGTTGCTTCCACATTTTCAGGTATCTTAATAGCAGTACCCCACTCTACTGGTACCAATTTACTGTATTAGTCCATTTTCATACTGCTATGAAGAAACACCCAAGGCTGGGTAAATTTTTTTTAAAAAAAGAGGTTTAATGGACTCTCAGTTCCACACGGCTAGGGAGGCCTCATGATCATGGCAGAAGGTGAAGGAGGAGCAAAGGCATGTCTTACATGGCAGCAGGAAAGAGAGCATGTGCAGGGGAACTGCCCTTTATAAAACTGTTAGATCTTGTGAGACTTATTCACTATTACAAGAACAGCATCGGGAAAACCCACCCCCATGATTCAATTACCTCCCACTGGGTCCCTCCCATGACATGTGGAGATTATGGGAGCTATAATTCAAGATGAGATTTGGGTGGGGACACGGCCAAACCATATCCAAGTGGAATTCGCTTTGCTTAGACACGCCTTATGACAATTCCTTGATGCTATTTGAGTGCTTCAAAAGTTCTAAACTACTCCCCAATTAATGTACTTTAGCCTAAAAAAGAAAATGACACCATTAGGTTTGTTCATTGTAGCTAAAATAGAAAATATAAAGAAAAAGAAAACAAAAAATTGAGCTATAATCCCTCCAGATATTTTTCCATGGGCATATGTTTACAAAGTGGGATCATAGCATTTTATAGATTTCAATTTTATTGCTATCATCTTTTGGCATCCATCATCTATATCTAAAGTATCATTTGTAGAATTTCAAGGATGTTTTTCTAAATAATTTCCCTATTTAGATCATTTCCTGGTTGTCTTTGCATGAAGCAACACTGCACAGACTGGACAGTGAGCAAAGCAGTGGGGAAAAATTGCTCTAGGATCAGATGTGGATCCAAATTCTACGTAGCCATGGAACTTAGACACTTGGACATACAAAATCCTCCCATGCCTCATTTCACCATCTGTTTCAGGGGAGAGTAATTGTAAGAACATACCTCATTAAACTGTTCTGAGACTTAAACTGGGAAAGGTATGAAAAATGCTGAACACTATGCCTGGCTCATTTGGGCTCAATAAAAGTTGGCTGTGATTTAATAAGTCCTCATATGATTACATCTTTAGAATATATTCTTTGAAAGGAATTCAAAGGGTCACAGGGCCCAAACAGGATCTTTAATCCATGGCTAATTGTCTTCCAGTTTCCTCTCCCACCAGTGAGTAAAAAGGAAAGTGAGACATTCTCCCTCACTTGGGGATGTATGCGGTCCTTTTTTAAAACAGGGAGCAGCATGGGAAAATGGAAAGCACACTGAACTTGGAAAAAATTTTGAGGTTTAGTCTCAGCTTTGCTACTTATTCAATAACTGTGTGTTCTTGATCTCTCAGTTCTCTGACCTGCAATGTCGTCATCTATTAAGAAAAGAGGGATGGGAAAGCAAGTAGCAGTATTCACCCTAAATCATCTCTAAAACATCATACAGGGGAGTAAATAAAACAAGCCATGAAAGACTTTATCACCTATATGCTGCCACCCATATATGATATTTTAGCCTATCTGGGATTTGGCTCTAAGTAACGCTGTAATCTTTAGACTTCAAATTCAATTCAATTCAATTTAACATTTATTGAGCATCTATTACATGTCAGAAACAAAACGCTGAAGCTAGAAACAGAAGCAACAATGGAAATAGGTACATTAAAAAATGTAGCTGAGAGAGCAGGGGAGAGGTATAGATATTCAGTACAATCTAAATAAAAACAGCATAAATTTGAAAACTTTATTTTATACTTTTAAATTCATTGAAAGTTTTCATCCAAGCTGCCAAACTATCACCCCAAAGTTATCCATAGGCAAGAAATTGAGGGATGAGGAGATATTCCTGAATAATCACATCAATCACAAAAAGGTCGGGGGGCAATAAACAAGAGAAGTAAATATCAGGATCTTTGCCTGGTTCTGTATCTCAGGAAGTATGCCTCTTAGCTCTTCACATCCATACGCTAGACGGTGGCAGATGCTCGTAGTATCTAAGGTGCTGTGGGCAGATTGAAGGACCAGAGTCAAGAGAGGATGTATCATGGACCCTGTCATACACATCCTCTTCTCTGCCAGCTGGGAGAGACCTGTCTCACCCCCCATCTCCCACATCATTTTCATTTCCAGTTCTCACAAGCTCCTTTTCTGTCTTAATCAGTGCTGATCTGCTTTTAGCAGACAATAACAGCAATAAAGAGTAGCATAGATTTTGGCACATGTGTGCTTTTAATTTTTTCTTAATCATCTATCCAAAAAAGAAAAATGGGGGCAAAAAAGACTTCTGTCTTTTACAGTATTCTATTGTTTTAGAAAAGAAAGAAATTAAGGTAGGAAGAACTGTGACCATGACGGATGACATCTCCTTAAAGGAAAGCTGCATATTTCTTTATTGGCAGGACTTATCTTAATTTACACGACACATTGCTGGTCCTGCATTTTATGTTGAAATAAAGGAAATGCTTCTTTCTGAAACCTGTAATGAAAAATGTAAATAGTATATCCTTTAATGATTAACAGTGACTAATTCTACTGATGCTGAGTAACATGTGCTGAAGAGATGGATTATCTATGAAACATAATTTTACTAAGCACTGCTATGTAATTTGTTAAGCATTTAGTAATAAGTATGTCTAATAAAATACAAAAAAATTTAGAAAATGAACCATAATTTTAATATAATTTTAATTAATGGGAGTGCAATTACAGTGGTTTAAATTACATTCCCAGTGGTAAGAAGCCTTTCAAACCTAATTTGTAAGCCAAGATGGTGGCTCTAATGACTGGCAGCAAAGTTTCTTCAACAGATTTCATGGGGCATGATCCAAAGATAATAGGTTCTCAGCCCAATGACAATCCAATTACAATGCCAATCAAAGCCAACTTCATGCACTCTAATTATCAGATTTAGCTGTCAGCTCAAATACAAACATAACACTTTTATTTAAATAAAAATTTAATTTAGAAAAAAAAAATGACTTCATGTGTGATTTATTGAGACTGCCAGAGCAATCTAACTTATTTCTCTGGCAATATAATAAAATCAGTCTTGTATTTTAAAAAAAAAGTGAAAACTTTTCCTTCCCCACTCATTCTCCTGTATCTGCTAAGCTATATTATTTAGGAGTTAATTTAAGCAAAAAAGCATAACCTAACATGGCAGCAGATATTCGCCAACCAGAAGTAGGTTAAATAGAGTAGCAAGATTTCAATGAGACAAAATTCCATGTGAATAAATGACAAAACCTAATTAGTTTTAAACAGTCATCAGGAGAAACTGTTTCAACTAAAATCCGTTTACATAGGCCTGAAGCTGAGGACACTGGCTTTCCCTTATCTCTACATTGGATCATAGTAGAAATACAGACAGGGTGGAAAGAAAGGAAAAGCAAGCAAAATCCACATTAAAATAATTTTAAGACATCTGATATTCATAGCACAAATAGCAATAATCTAGAGTGTGAGCAACTGGTAGCGATTGCTTCCCACCAGAGCCCCAGCGTGGACTCTCAGTTTTTGCTCAAGATTTCTCCTCAGTGAAATGTTTCCCTTGGAGCAGTGCTGCCCAACAGAAATGTTGTATGAGCCATAATGCAAGCCACATAAATAATTTCAAGTTTTCCTGTTGTCACATTAAAAAAAAATAGTAAGAAGGAGCAAAATATTTATTTTAATAATATATTTTACTTAATCCAATATATCAAAAATATTATCATTTCAACATGTAATTAGCATTTTAAAAAAACTATTAATGAAAAATTTTACATTATTTTCTGACAGGAAGCATTAAAAATCAATGCGTAGCTAAGTGCAGTGGCTCATACCTGTAATACCAGAACTTTGAGAGGCTGAGGCAGGAGAATTGCTTAAGCCCAGAGGTTTGAGACCAGCCTAGGCTGGTGAGGCCCTGTCTTGTGAGACCCTGCTTTGTAAGACCTTATCTCCACACACACAAAAAAACAAATATGTATGTTATACTTACAGCATACCCCAATGCAGAAGAATTCAGCCACATTTTACTTGTACAATGGGCACATGTGGCAAGTGGCTACTGCCCTGATAAAAGCAGGCTTAAAGTCTGGCCCAATAAGAAAGTAAAGAAGTAACTGTCTTTATGTAGTGGCTTCAAAGACCACCTACTCCCAGGGAGAAAATATATTTACTGGTTTTCCAAAGAACCTAAAATTTCCTCTAACATTTTACTTCCTATGGTTTGATGGATATGCTACTATATATATATATATATATAAATAAATACATATACACACACACATATATACATATATACATATATATTAAAAAAAATATATATATATATACACACACACACATACATAAATATATATACACACACATATTAGGGGAAGAAAATTCAGGGAAGATTTTCTTTTCCATAATCTGTCTAGTGAACATGTAATATGAAGATAAGCCATCCTTTTACAATATAGATTTGTAAAAAATTAAGGACATGCTAGAGGATCCTTGAAAGGAGGGCAGTAATGTCAAGGGCAGAGGACCAAGGATAAGCTTCGCCTCTAGTAGCTCTAAGTCCCTGATTGCAGATGGCAGTTTCTCAAAACCCTCCTCTGTGATTTCCCTTGCTCAATTAGGGGGTGCTCTGTAAGCTCACGCTCGGGGACACATTTGCCCATTTTGACACTCTCCCAGGCCTCTTGTGGCTTCCCAGCTCTCAGCCCCTGAGCCCCTAAGGCCAACATGATATCCTGAATGCCCACCTCCACACATCTTGAATTCTACACCAATTTCCAAGGCACTTACAATTTCCAAACCCACCACACAGCATTAGACAAGAATCACAGCAGGTTAAAACAAGGAGTTAATTTGTTTCATCTTATATACTTAGAGTTGGGAGTAGCTTGAATTGAACATGCAAATAGATGCAAACATATGCAAATCAGTTTTTCTCCAGATAAACTGAATGGGAAAGAAGCCTTATAGTATTAGTAACATGCAGTGATTTTGTGGTGTTTCAAAGGAAATTATTTCCTTCCTCCAATTTCAAATGTGAGTAGCTTTCTCAGTCCTCAAATAAAACCAAAAGTTACCAGGCTTTAAGGAGTAAAAAAATTTTTAAAAGACTGATGCAGATATATCATGCTATATTTAAGCTTTAGTTATTACATCCTAAGTGCAACTCTCTCCAGAAACTAAAAAGTTCCTTACTCAGGGACAATGTAGTTCTCCAAATAAATCTTTGCTTTAGGTCTAACAATAACATAATTAAAAGTGCTTCTAAAAAGAGAAAGAGTAATAATACATGGCAGAAATGTGAAGTTAACAGCAGAATACACAGAGCTGCTGGTTATTATTTTTAATAAGAGTAACATATTATCCAATTCTGGACATAAGTGCCTTTATATTTATTATCCAACTCTGGACATAAGTGCCTTTTGCCAGAAGCTATCCATAGTGTTGTGGTGATTGATTTTGTTCATATGGCAATGCCATGTGGTAGTATAACTGGTATTCTCACCCCCTATTGAGATGTGACTTCTTGAATTCTAGTTCCTAATCCTATGTCTTTCTTCATATTAAGCCAGGTCCCACTGCTTCCTGGACAACTGCACCTGGACAAAGATGCTTCATCTTTACCATGTTCGAAGTCCTTCCTCCATAAAACTTGACCTTCATGAGTGCCTTATCTCAGTTCACGGCACCATGATCTCTTTAATTAGGAAAACAGAAACATCAAGTCTTACTTAATTCTGCTCTTTCCCCTTTTTCTCCTCAGACAGGCACTAACTTATATATGCAGATACCTTGAAAAAGGTCAGACCCTAATCCTTCACAGTAACAGAGACAATCACTATTAGGAAGGGATGTCTGGAACTCACAGCCTCCCACCTATACCCTAAGATTCACCTTTCTGTCATGAGCTCATACTAAGTTCTGTTACCACAGCCAAGCAGAGTGGCCCCATTTCATGTTTTAGTCCAAGTGTGGAAATACAACTATTTTTTTCAGTTCCCCCAAAGCCTAGCTCAGATAAAATACAGAACAAGACTTCACTAAACAAGGATAATAGAAAGGAAGTAAATACAGAGAACAACAAGCAACTAGATAGTCTAATGTGTGAAATACAGTTCCATTTTCTTTAGCTTATAGCCCTCTATGGGTGAATGGTCCTGGTCTAGCTTCCAACTTGCTCCCCTTGGTAGGTGGTTTCCCCTGTCCCTGAAGGATGTATCTCAAGGTTCCCGCATCATTGTCTCCTGTAAAGGGCTGGCCTGAAATAATGAGGTCAGAGCTAAGAGTAGTCTTCTTACAGCCTATTTTGGACTTTTCATATAAACGTCATTTCCCTTCATGAAAACCTCAATGTCCCGAATGTCTATTAGGGAGACTGTCTGATATGGTTTGGTTGTGTCCACACTCAAATCTCATCTTGAATTGTATGTCCCACAATTCCCATGTGTTGTGGGAGGGACCCAGTGGGAGGTAACTGAATAATGGAAGCTGGTCTTTCCTGTGTTATTCTCATGATAGTGAATAACTCTCATTGAGATCTGATGGCTGAAAAACAGGAGTTTCCCTGCACAAGCTCTCTCTTTGCCTGCTGCCATCCATGTAAGACGTGACTTGCTCCTCCTTGCCTTCTGCCATGATTGTGAGGCTCCCCTAGCCACGTGGAACTGTAAGTCCATTAAGCCTCTTTCTTTTGTAAATTGTCCAATCTCAGGTATGTCTTATCAGCAGCATGCAGATGTACTAATACATTGCCCCAGCCCTAACACCTACAGAGGCCTGGAATTACCCTATAGGCTTATCAGAACACAGCAATCAAAATCCAACTCAATAAATCTAAGGCACATGAAACATGCACATGTGGCAGCAAGAGATCCTTCCTTTATCCAAGTCCAGTATTTTCAAAATGCCTGTCAACTCTATCCTGTACTCTCTAAAAGCACACCAAAGGCCTGTTAGTCATTTCTATTTCCGTGTATAATAAGGTCTATGGGGTTTTTTTAATGATAAATGTAATTCATGTTCATTTAAGATACTGCAAAATGATCAGAAGTATGAAGACAAAAATAAAAGTCATCCATAACTCTATGATCTCTACCATCTTTTATCTGAATGTATCAGTGGTCCACAGGTTGCCCCAGATTCTTGCCTCTCCCTACTACAGTACAGTCACAATATTGGCCCTGCATTACACTGACTTCACATGAATTAAGTATAATTTATTTTAGCAAAAACTTTCACCATCTAGTTCTGAAGTCTCAGACACTGTGGGATGTTTCTAAAAAAGGTTTAGATCTTGTCTTCATGGAGATCACATGGTTGAAAACCTGTGGCTCCCCCATGGTCTTTGGAATACACTCCAAATACCTCAGAATAACATCTTAGCTCCTTTTCAACAAGCATGGCTGGATTAATTGTCCATACCACCATGCCCTCATATATCCATGCATTTTGTGCTCCAGCCACAGTTTACCCACTGCAATTTCTCCAGGAATGCCTCTGCTTTTGCAAACATTTATCTTCTCTACTTAGATGTCTACCCTTTACACACATACACACACACACACACACACACATAAACATCACCACCACCACTAGCATACTACCACCCTAGGAAAATAGTGAGCATTCAAGAAAGATATGTTAAATAAAATTAACAAAATACATTGTAGTTCATTCACCTCACATCAAGAGATTTAAATATGCTCCAAGGACTTAAAATTTAAAATTACAAATTTTAAATTTATAATTTAAATCTTTTGATTATGGTAGGATAGGATTGGGACTTTTCTTTTTCTTTTGGAAATGGAGTCTCACTCTGTCACCCAGGCTGGAGTGCAGTGGTGCATCTCAGCTCACTGTAACCTTTGCCTCCTGGGTTCAAGGGATTCTCCTGCCTCAGCCTCCAGAGTAGCTGGGATTACAGGTACCTGCCAGCACATCCAGCTAACTTTTGTATTTTTAGTAGAGATGGGGTTTCGCCATATTGGCCAGGCTGGTCTGGAACTCCTGGCCTCAAGTGATCTGCCCATCTTGGCCTCCCAAAGCGCTGGGATTACAGGCATGAGCCACCACACTGGATCGTTACATATTTTTTGTAAGTTATATTCACAAAGACTCTTAACCTGATGTATCACAAAAGGTGAAGTGACTATTGGAGGTTGAAGGGTGGAAGGAATGCCATCGTCTTTTATTTAGATTAGAAAGGTAATTGGAAGAAGGTTCCATAATTCTGCCAATATATCTGCATGGAACAAGTGGGATTTCAGAAACTCCTGGCATAAAGAAGTGTTTTGGAAGACGGTACTAGGAGTAAATTTCCAGCAGAAATGGAGGCCATGTGAAAAAAAAAATAATAACTAAGAAGTAGAAGAGTTGTTTTTGGTTGAATAGACAAAGATGCCCATAAAAAAACAGGAGGAGAGAATAGGGCATGAAAGGCCTTGGAGAAAGTTAAAAAGGAGTCTGCCAATTTAAGACTTTCTGTGACTCTGTAGAAACATCTTTGATGCAGTACTAGGAAAGAAACTAAATTTCATGAACTAAATTGAAGCATAATTGTTTTAAACAAATCCAACCTTTAGCCATGCCTTATGTCATCACTTCTCTGGGTTTTCCCTAGCAGTTTACCATGGTTCATCCTCTCCTCTTCACTAGGTCAATTCTTCAGCTTTGGGCAGCTGATCCTCTACTTTGTCTTCCAGCTGGTGCCTCATCTTGTCCTCTTGGCTTCACATTGCTAGCACTGGCTACTTAGGATTCTGATCTACCTGGCTTGGTGTTGGAACCCTCTGCCTTACTCCACCCCATGGGGTAACCAAGAAGCTATAAACTGGAATTCCAATGACAGTCCCATCCTCTCTATCCAGCCTCCCAAAGACAAGGCCAGTAAAGGACTTCAAGGGAAACTTTGGATATCTAAGTCCGAATATTAAGTACAAGTATGTACTAACATGTAAGTATTTTCAAAAGCAGATTTTATGAAGGAGATATTAAATAGTTTTGGATGGACATTTTGGACATTGCTGATTGAGTATGATGTGTTCTACATATTTTAGGAAGAACCTAAGCTTTTACTCGTACTAGAGAGGAGAATCACACTAACTTCTTCATCTCTTCACCCAAGCTCATCCTTTTGTCTCTGTCTCCTATAGGACTTCATACCATCTGACAGGCCCTCCACCCTCCTCTGCAGTAGTTTTGCTGGCTCCTTCTCTTCCATCTAAAAACAAGACGGGCCACTAGATTATTTAAAACCAGTAAGCCTGCCCTGTCATGAACCCATCTCTTTTTCTTTCTCTGCTAAAAATTGAGTGAGACTAATTATAACAATTTGCTCACTATACTTATCATATATCTAAAATTTCATTCCTCCTTTCCCTCAAAATTCTATGGAACACAGAATCTCATTCACTTTTTTGAGGGACAGAACTACATTTCTACCTGCCTGCAAGAAAATTTTGATTAACCATCCTTTGAAAATCAGTATATTAAATAATAGTCTGAGCCTTGTCTATTCCCTTTCAATTGTGAATATGATAGGAACACCCTCACCTTATAGACAGTGTCATGTGTTTCCAAGGTGGCTAATGTATATTGCTACATTGACACATCCATTCTAGACCATGAGGTCAACATTAGTTCTACCTCCAATATGTCTACTCTGAGCCCATGGAAATTGTGGATTGGCAGACCTAAGCCCTCCCCTAAATCATGTCACCTATATGTCTGGACAACTTGTATGAATGGCTTCTGAATAGTGCATCAGTTTTTCAGGAGGTACCTGGGTCCCTTGTCTCTGAGCCAGTTCTTACTAATTCCTTCCCCCTGAGAGACTAGACCATATTTCCTGTGTCTATGGCCTCCGACTCCTCCACAATGATTGCCTGAGACTCCAAGCATCTCCCCTGCCAGGCATTTAACACATTTCTACTGCCATGACTGGATTCATTTTAATTCCATATTTGGCCCGTTCCTGGCAGCCTTAGATCCCTGTTAATTTTACTATCCCTTTGTCCAATATGGCCGTGACTCTCTCCTTCCTGACAGCCTTATTTTGATGCTTAGAACCAAGAATACTTTCAATAATGATTCCACCTAAATTAAACCATGTACAACCTATATCATCATATTTTTTTTCCAAAACAAATCTTTCCAGTGTCCCTATTTCTGCTTATGAGAGCAGGCTCCAAGTGAAGTCAACTTCTCATTTTTCTCTCTCCATGTATCCAGCCTGTTTTTGAATTTATAAACTCTATCGCCACAATGCATCCATCCTCTTTTTTCTATTTTTACTTTCCCTAAGTTGAGTTTTTCATTACTTTCTTTTCTTTTTTTTTTTTTTTTTGAGACAGAGTTTTGCCCTGTTGCCCAGCTGGAATGCAATGGTGTGATCTTGGCTCACTACAACCTCCGCCTCCCAGGTTCAAGGGATTCTCCTGCCTCAGCCTCTCAAGTAGCTGGGATTACAGGCACATGCCAGCACGCATAGCTAATTTTTGTAAATTTTTAGTAGAGACGGGGTTTCCCATGTTAGCCAGGCTGGTCTCGATCTCCTGACCTCAGGTGATCCACCTGGCTCGGCCTCCCAAAGTGCTGGGATTACAGGCGTGAGCCACCGCACCCGGCCTTTCTCATTACTTTCTAGGCTATTGCTAAAGAGCCTCCCTGGAAGATCCCAACCCACTCCAAACTGTTTCTATTCTACTATCAATCTTTCTAAAGTATAACTCCCATCAGATCTTTCCAATACTCAATAACCTTCACTAATAACCCATTCCCACCAACTTAGAGCCAAATTAATCTGCCTGGCATTCAAAGCCCTTTCCAAATAGAAGTTATATTTGTCATTCCATTCTCACCTCTCTGTACATTTTTCATGCTGTATCTACACAGTGCTGTCAACCCTTTCCCAAATGGTCTTCACTTTGTCATTTCTATGCCATTGTTTGTGCTACTATCTCTGCCTGGGGTATCTTTTCCTTATCTTCATGAACAAAAATACTGTCCACCCTTCCAGGTCCTTTTCAAGAAACTGCTGCAGATTTCCCTGTACAAAAGTGGTTTATCCTTTTTTTGAACTCTTATAATATCTGCTGCATCTTTATCCTATGGCTCCTATAATACCACTTGCATCTTAACTCTTTATATCCTTGTTTTATCCATCTCAAAGGATGTTAAGTTCCCTTAGGGCAGGTGTAGTAGGCAAAATTATAAGACAGACCTCCACCATTCCTTGCCCCTGGTGTACACACACCTTCTCCAAGTTATTCAATCAAGCATAACCTAAGTATTGCTGTGAAAAGTCTTTGCAAATGAAATTAAGGTCCTAAATCAGCTGACATTTACATAGGAAGATTAATCATTGTGTGGGCCTGACCTAATTACATGAGTCTTTTAAAAGCAGAAATTTTTATCCAAGCAGAAAGGGAAGTCAGAGACTCAAAGTACACAGGGGAGTTAATGCATGAGAAGTTCTCCATTGCCAGTTTGAAGATAGAAGAGACCACAGGACAAGGCATGCAGGCAGCTTCTAGGAACTGTGAACAGCCTCTGACAGGAAACCCAGGTGGAAAACAGGAACCTCGGTGATGCAAATCAAAGGAACTGAATTCAGCCAAGAATGACCTTGGAAATGAACTCTTTCCCAAAGCCTCCAGACAAGAACATAGCACAACTGACGCCTGGATTTTACCCTTGTGAAACCCTGAGCAGAGAAAGAACCCAGCCACATTTTGTTGGACTTCTGACCTACAGAATTGTGAGCTAACAAATGGGTGGTATTTTAAGCTGCTAAGTTTGAGGTAATTTGTTAAATGGCAATAAAAAACTAATATGGTGGGGATATCTTATTTGTGTTATTATACCCAGCAATGCCAAGTTGAATCCTTTGTATGTGAAAGTATATCAATGTGCATTTAACTTCCAAGAGCATAAAAAATATTTGGGATATAATTTTTTCAGCAAGAATAAAAAGGCAAAATAAAAGGTGAATAGAAATAAAAATAAAAGGTAGTCTCTATGTCTTTAATTGGAGAAAATGTTGGAAATTCTTAATTTATTCACTCTGATAAGGCCACATTCCAGCACATCTTGAAAGTTCTGAGTATAGTCCCCAGAACAAACTCAGTTATGAAAACCTTTTTTTTTTCTTTGAGACAGAGTCTCACTCTGTCACCCAGGCTGAAGTGGAATAGTGCGATCTTAGCTCAGTGCAACCTCCACCTCCTGGGTTCAAGTGATTCTCCTGCCTCAGCCTCCCTAGTAGCTGGGATTACAGGCGCCTGCCACCAAACCTGGCAAATTTTTGTATTTTTAGTAGAAACAGAGTTTCACCATGTTGGCCAGGCTGGTCTTGAGCTCCTGACCTCAAGTGATCCTCCCACCTCCGCCTCCCAAAGTGCTGGGATTACAGGTGTGAGCCACTGTGCCAAGCCTGTTTTTTAAGAAGCTTATTTCAAGAAATATATAAGTGTGGCCTAAAAAACACTTGTGGTGACATTATTGAGCTGGCATCTAGTTCTATACCTGTGGTTGCAACGAAGACCTTTGCCAAGTACCTCTCTAAAGCCAAAACTTCAGTTCTTAAACAAAATTACTAATTCCTCCTTTCAACACTACGACCCTCTTCTAACTAATATCTTAAAATGGTTTTTCTTTTTCTGGTCTCAAAATGTGAGCAAACTTGAACATTACTGACATTGGAACACCATATTAGACTTCTTTTTCTTCAAGCCAAATGCTGAGCTTAAATCTCTTCACTCTACACCTGCCATAAAGGGTCTGTGGGGAAGAAAGCAGCTGCCCAGAAGGCACAGCCAAGCTCTCCATCCTGAAAGCTCCAAGGCCCTGGGTGAGTCATTTGATGAACTAAAATTCAGTTTTTTTATTGGCCAGAAAAACTTGCAACACTGGTTTCTCAGAGCTGTTGTCATATTCTAATAAAAAAAAAAAGAAGAACAAAAGGCCTTGAAAAGAATAGCACGCATGGCTATATAATCATCCAAAGGGAATCCCTGTCTCCTCTATGAGCTTATACAGTCTGGTAATTGTTTTCAATAAAATCATGGGAAGATTTGTAGGTAGCTAACATGGACGTTGGGCCATCCATAACTTTTGGCTTGGTATAGTCATACTATTATTTACCCAATAAACCGTAACTGTAGTGGAGGCCCAATAATTCAGCATCTGAGAGGGATTTGCTACAGAAGAAGTTATTATGGTTCATCAGATCAAAGGCTCACTTTTAGAAAAGCATCCAAACACAGATATACACAATAGGCTCAAATCATTACAGACTATTTTGCCAAGTAATACACCTTTTCAAAATAACTACAGCACTGATCACATGCCTCACTGTTTAGTTACTTATCCCACACATAGACGGGACTGTGGGTTGTTTTTTAAAAAAATCAGAGAAAGAGAGAAAATAAAAGAATAAAAAAGAACATAGCCACCATTTCAAAATAGAAAGATTATATTACAAATGTAGAAAAGCCCAAAAACCTAAAAGGTAGAGACAGGTATTTTCTAATTCACATTGTGCAGGTTGTTTTTATATTATTTATTTTCTTATCCCCAAGTCCCATCAGCTGAAAAGACAATGTCAGGCTTCACTCTGAATGCTCTGCATGTTGTCTGTTTGTGTTATTTTAAAAGGTCTGAACAAAAAAGCTGCCATATTGCAAGCAATTTAGAAAACCACCAAAGTTACAATGGATGGTGAATATCTTTGCCTCTTACCATTTTGCTCCACAGAAAGAAATCAAGGCATCCGTCTTTGATGTTTGTTTTTCGTTTCATAATCACTTGTGCACATGGTGTGTACATACAGAATGACAAAGGCTCAGGTTCATGACAATAATGATAAAATGAAAACACTCAAAATTCTCAATGTTAAAAGGCTTGATTAGGATAAATACCTCAAATTTCATACACAGATGTAACTAGCTGAGATTTATCAAAAGTTTATTTGTGTTTATTAATGCTTTCAATTTAGGGGTTGGGGAGTATGTACAAAGACTAAAGTCACCACTCTACAATCACCAAGTGAGATCTGGAAGTGCTTGTATCATGGTTTTGTTAGCTTGTTTTTGTTTTCTCTCCCACCAAGTTGTGTGTGTGTGTGCTTATGTGTGTGTTCTCTCCTTTCTCTTTCTCTTCCTCTCTCCCCTCGTCCTTCCTTTCTTTCCCCTCCCACCTTCTCTTTTGTGTCTTTCTCTCAGACATACAGAGAAAACATCAAATTTATTATAGTGCCCCTAAGTTTAGTTTCTTTGACTCAAAACAATGAAGGGCTATTGCAATGTCTTTCTCCTTCTCACCCATTTAGTATCTTTAAAGTAATTTCTTAAAATGCAAAAGAATTGCCTATATTCTATGGAATAACTTAAAAATCAGAACCTGCTTTTTCACTTTCTTTCTCCTTTTATCAAGATCAGTATTTTTTTCCCTTGCCTAGAAATGATCTCTTCAAAAAGTCAGCAAAATATTTTGGCTTTCTTCAGCAGCACTTTGGGCTTCTCTGTTACAAATTGTATACACATTTTCCAGACAGGAGGATTTGAAGGGTTTAAATTATTTTTTAAATGATGTCTGTATTCTAGCAGATTCACATTTGCAGGAGGAAGATGGAGGCAAGGAAAGCTACTACAGAACATAATATGTCTGGAATCAGGGGACTATTGAGCTCTATGCAAATCTGGGAAAAGAAAATATCTTCCTCATACATTATCTACAGCAAGGATTTTGAGTTTCCCAGACTGAAGAAACAAATGCTCTCGATGGATGTAGTCTGTCATTCATATTGAGCTCACATATTTTACTTCCTGAAACCAAACAAATACTGATAAACTACTTCAGTGAGCCTTTAATCAAAATTTCGGCAATACACAGTTGTCGACAGAAAGATCAGTCTGTGGAGCCTGAAACCCTTTCATCATCAAATATACAGAAATAATAATTATATTTATCTGTTTGGTTCAGGCTGCACACCAAGATTTACCCTTGCCCTAAGGACACAGAAATCATCAGCCATTGTCATCTCTACAGAAAAAAAAAATCGTTAATAACTTAGAGGTTAAACAGTTCTCAACAGTTGTGGGGGCTCAGGAAAAAGAAATAAAAATAATACATTTTCCCCTGTAATGGTACAATAAACTGTGTATGTGTTAACCAATTAGCACTTCTGATAATAACCCTGAAAGTACCAGTGAGCATCTAGCCTGCCCAATAAAAAAAAAGGTGTAGAAAGGGGAAGAGCTTATCTCATCATTCTGATTTCCATCCTCTAAGGTTCTCTGTGTCTTGTATATTTCAATGCAACTTATTCCAAAAACATTTTTAAAAATAGATAAAATGGGCTGGCGTGGTGGCTCACACCGGTAATCCCAGCACTTTGGGAGGCCAAGGGGGACGGATCGCCTGAGGTCAGGAGTTCCAGATCAGCCTGGCCAACATGGTGAAACCCTGTCTCTACTAAAAATACAAAAATTAGCCAGGTGTGGTGGTGGGCACCTGTAATCCCAGCTACTTGGGATGCTGAGACAGGAGAATCGCTTGAACCCAGAAGTCGAAGGCTGCAGTGAGCCAAGACTGCACCATTGCACTCCAGCCTGGGCAAGAAGAGTGAAACTCCATCTCAAAAAAATAAAAATAAAATAAAAATAAAAATAAAAAAATGTAGATAAAATGTACAGGAGAGTTGAGTTTGAAAAACATTTTATGATGAAAATAGTGTATCTTAATTTGGATTCCCTCAAAGCCAAAACTGAAACAAGGGTTTGGTGAACTGAGGTTATTTGGATGGAATCCCAGGAAGCCAAAGTGAAGGAGCAGAGAGAGTTCAGAAAGGAAGCAAAGCTAGTCAAGATGAGTTTTGAGCTGATTATCACTGTGGACATCTGAGGCTTATTCCCACTGGAGTCCCTCAGGAGCCAAGTAGAAATGAACTTTATTGGAACTACAGCAAGACAGAAGGCTGGGGCATTCAGCCTCTGTCACAGCCCATAATTGATAGTTGCCCCAACCCTGAGAGCTTCTCCCCCATACATCAAGGCTGCATCTAATTGGGGCTAAAAAAGCTAAAGCATAAGACAGGGATCCCCAACCTTTTTGGCACCAGGGACAATTTTCATGGAAAAAATGTTTTCCATGAAACATGAAATGTTTTCCATTAAAGGGGTGTGCGGGGAATGGCTTCAGGATGAAACTGTTCCACCTCAGATCATCAGAAATTAGTTAGATTCTCATAAGGAGTGCATAACCTAGATCCCTCGCATGCACTGTTCACAAGAGGGTCCCTGCTCCTACGAGAATCAATTGTTCCTGCTGTTCTGACAGGAGGAGCTCAGGTAGTAATGCTCACTGGCCCTCTGCTCACCTCCTGCTGTGCAGCCTGGCTCCTAACAGGTCATTAACTGGTACTGGTCCACGTCCATGGCCTGGGGAATGGGGACCACTGGCCTAAGAGAATTCCCTGAAGTAGAGAAACTGAAAGGAGCTTGAGGTCAGAAGCCATCCAAATGCACAAGGGTTGCTTTCTATAAATAAGGGGACCGAGGGAACCAGTAACATCTACTACATATTTCTTGCTCTAGAATAACTTGAGAAGGTTGTTTTATGTTCCTCTTAAAAAGTAAATATAAGAACATTGAACATAGCCACAGTGCTGCTATTCTTTAGGTGGAATTACCTTCGCAAAACACATGTATTCAGAGGAAGGTCTTTATTTTCCCCTTCTCCATTTGCCTCAAGAAAAATACCATCACTCCTCCTCTGGTTCTTCCTTTTGGGTCCTGTTTGTCACATATTCCTTCTTACCTTCTTTTCACTCACCTCAACACTTTCTTCCTTCCTCCTCAATTGTCTTTACCTTTCCACAACTTTCAAGAATTGTGGAACATGACCTTTACCCAATTAAGACATAAAAAGTAGCCTCCAAACTGCCATAAAAACAATTTTGGGTCACTTGATTATTAAAATATTAGCTATTAAAATAGCAAGAAGGCCTCTTACTTGTTACATTGAATATTGTGAAAACATCTAAATTCAAATTCTGCTTTAGTCTATTTATAGACAGGGAGGGAGAGAGGAGAGAGAAGGAGGGAGGAAATAGGAAGGAAGGAAGGAACAAAGGAAGGAGGGAGGGAGGGAGGAAGGGAGGAAGGGAGGGAGGGAGAGATCTTTGTGATTTTGTTTGAAAAGTCTCCTGGTTCTGTTAGGTTACATCCTTCAAGCCCATCACTTTGGAATATATTTGCCCATTTTGACACTCTCCCTGGCCAAACACTCACACCAGTGGCTTCACTGTAATTACTGAATCTGCAGGTCATTAGGGACTCCCGTTAAAACTTACTACAATGTCTACAGTTGCCACATGTGTAATTTAAGAGGACACACACCTGCTTTAATTACAGGGCCCTTGAGAGATAACAAGATATAAGTAACATGACCAGATGAGAGTCAATTGCTGAAACTGTTTCTTGATAAAATGTGTTTGGCTCCAGAGGCTAAAGCTCACTCACTCTTTCCTATACAGCATCAAGGTGTCAACAGGCACACAGCTACTGGGAATAATTGAAATGCCTCTCTTCATTGAGAAATTGCTCATACAGTAAACAAAGCCCACATGACATAGCAGTAGATGTCAGAGTCATTGCTGGCACACTTAGTCATCAAAAGAAAACCTGGACATAAG
Organism: Homo sapiens; assembly: GCF_000001405.40. NCBI lineage: Eukaryota > Metazoa > Chordata > Mammalia > Primates > Hominidae > Homo > Homo sapiens. Next base: position 58,734,399 of record NC_000002.12, on the reverse strand, counting down.
AAAGCTTCAGTGGAATATTCCAGTGCAGATATTATAATCCAACATTTATGTCTTCCCTCAGAGAACATAACTTTATGCACCAAACTACCATCCTTGGGATTTGATTCTCAGTTTATTTGCTGTCTTTGTTTTTATTTTTTGTATATAATCTTGAAAAGACTAACAAAAAATCTGTTTTATTTGTTTTCAACCTGCAGCCTTCTTTTAACAGGTAAGAGGTTGAAGAAAGTGACATGTAAGGACTGGGAACTGTAAGCAGAGCATTCAAGGCATTCCCCAGCTCTTAAGCTGTATCATCTCATCCCCAAAATAATATTCCTGTCATTTAGCAGATGTTATTGTCAGCAGCCTATTTCTCTGGAAGAGTCAGGATAGGACTCAGTTTAAGGTGAGAGAGGGTAAGTTCATGCTCACAGAGTCTGCTGCAGTTCCAAGAGTATCTTCAAAGCAGCTCCCTGTGTTAAGTAATTCAGAGACACAAGTTGTTTCCATCTTGGGTCTCTGCCACCACAAGTGGAAACCTCCTGGGTTGCCATACTAGGTAAGAAGAACCTAGATGGCCATGCACGAACCCTTAAAACTGTTGTCTGGAAATGAAATACACCTGTTCACAGCCCATTATCCAGAATTAGTAACATGGTGCTGCTAGTTGGAAAAGACCCTGGGATATATGAAAAGCACTCAGATATTCAGGAAGCAGTAAATTTCTGGGCTATACTTCTCAATAATATGCTCTTCACACTCCCAACTAACTAATATTCCTCAAATATCATTTGTATTGTGTTACTTCCTCAGTAAAAAGCTTAGTATTATTCCCCAAGCACCTGGCATTTTTATGTTATGTAATACCTAGTCATTTTTTTCCAATATGCTTAAAGCTTCAAGAGGTTATGATTTAAGACAATACTTTTCAGATGGGTAATATTGTGGTCATGCTTAAGGTTCTGTAGGTTTGGCACTAGGACAGGGTGCTGGGGAAAATATCTTAAGATCATAAGTTCAGGGAGGGCAGGGCCCACATCTGTCTTCTCCACATTCAATCTCTACCAATCTCTACCACTACCACATATTACAATATCAGTAAATATTACTGGAATTTAATTGAACTTCATAATTTTTCCTGTGGCTAGTTCTATCTCCTGAAGCAAGTCTAAATTCCTCTCCACTGGCAATGGCTTTCTTAGGCCTCCTGTTCCACTTCTCTCCAACCCTGCTTCCACAAACATCATACGCATAACAATGAACACAACAATAAAACTCAGATCTACAACTTACAAGACACTTTCACAAGTATATTTTTCAGCCATAAACTCCTCTGTATGACATTCAAAGTAGGTATAAATATTCCCATTTTATAGATGGACAAGCAGAATATCAGAGGCAATATTTAAAACTTACCTCTTCTGATTTTAGTCCAGAGTTCTTTTCATCATTCCCGTATTCATGACAATCCATGCCTACACATTTTCCTTATACTGTTTGCATGCCACTTCACTCTGCTCTCTTCTGCCCTGCATTGCAATGTTTCCTACCTACTCTTCCTCCTCGACCTGGTTCACATTCTTCCTTCTCCAGAATTTGTTTTTAAACTACTTTACACCAAATCATTGTTCCTCCTCCTAATTCTGTTTGGATGTGCCACTTGTAGCTGGATCATAATCCACTATGCTTTGGGCCTTCTCTGTAATCAGATTGGAAATCTTGTGGGGAGAAATTTTATTTTCTACCAATTTGCTATGTCCCTAAGCATCTAACAATGTGTTTGATGCATAGCTCTTGACCATTTTCATTATACTTTGAAGAAAGAAGAAAAGAAAATTTGAGTAAACCTGTGCTTACTGATGAACCCTAACTCTAAATAGCACCTGGACTGACTTTGTTTATAGACATTGATGCCTTACAGCTAGTACAGAGTTTAAAGCCACCTTAATTTTAGATCCATCTTTAAAATGTTTTGTTTATAAATTCAAAGATTCTTATGAAAAATTAAACACCCATTTGTACTCTAAAAACATTCCATAAAGACACAATAAATGAGACAAGAATTATTAGCAAGTCTCTTAATAACTAACTGAAAATAACAGAATAAATAAACCACAATACTTAACCACTGTCAATTTAGTTCAGTACCCTCTTTCTAGCTATAAAACTAAGGGTGGGGAGTATTTTTATAGGACGGTGTAGTGGTTCTCTACAGAATCAACTTCAAATTAGTGAATAAAATTAAATCTATTATAAAGCTATTTTTCTTTTACTTTAGGTACTGCATTCCATATATTAACTACCTATTATGTAAAATAGCTCTTATATTTATTTGTGTAAAGGCTGTCAAGTATCCTGAAAGTTGCTGAAGAAATTAATCTCACCGGCATTTTAGGTAACACATCTCTTAACAATCTTCGTTATTCAGACTCTGAATTAGCCCTCTTTTGTCTTAGAGAGTGGGATTTTAGAACTGTTATAATATTTCTGAATTGAGCTGATTTCTTTCCAAAGTACATGAGCTAAATATTTTTTAAATTAATTGCCTCATATATTGAACATGCTTGCTCTATTACAGCATATTGAAAAGTAAGATACAGACCCAAACAAAACACTATGCCTCTAAGTTGCCAGTGGGATTTTGTAGGTGGTGAGGAAAACACATGGCATTCTAGTTAAAGAGGGTAGTTGTAATTCTCCGTGCTTATCATCAACATCTTCAAATCACACACTTCCGCAGCCCAGCATTCTCTTGGCTGACACTCATAATTCTTTTTAACTTTACAGAGTGGGGAAGCTAGTGAATGGGGAAGGAGATAAAGATGTGGGCAAAGTTTCTAAGGGGTTGAGTCAGATATGTATTTAGATATGCAGAAACAGAATTTCACATTAGGATCAAGAAAAGAGGAACATACTGGCTTATTCCTCCTCCCGCGAAAAAAGAAAGATCAAAATGCTAAGACAAAATGGGCCACAGTGAAGTTTAAAGTGTAGATGTTTTCCAATTATTCAGGGCATTTATGCTAATTGTACTGACAAAGAGTCTATCATTATTTTGGCTCCCTCACTAAGAATATTAAAAGATCTGGGCTGACATAAAGAAGTATGTAAAAGCAAAGTTTTATTACAGATGTCAAATTTGTTAAAGAGTGATTCATGATAGATTAGTTTATTGAAGTGTGTAATAAGTTTAATTACAAATCTTTTCAAATCTTTTTCCCCCTAACTCAATAAAGAAAAGGAAGAAGGTATAGTTTATCTTCAAAGGGGAGACAAAAATTATTCGTGGGAACAATATGGCAAAACTAATTTAATTCCTAGTAGTTTAAAATAAAAAAAAAAAAAAGGATCAGCAAAATGTGGCTAGTGCTGGTGGTGCATGATTACACCAAGCACTTTTTTGTTGAGACAGGAAAAAGATTTATGTTCCTTGGTAAAAGACTATGTATAGTGTGAACGATACTGAAAGGTAACTGAACAGAGGCTGATGGGAGAGATAAGGGAGCAAATGCTCACAGAGTCGTGTTGGGTCAGAGAGATGTGCAGAGGGAGGAATGTTAAACACCTCTGCATGGGCACTGGAATGATCACAGATGATTTTTTTAAAGTGTACTCTTCACTTTTCCATTCTACACATCTGTTAGCTTTTTAAAAATTAAAACATAAGCACATCTAAATTTAAATACAAATATATTTGCATTATGAGATTTACTTCTAAAGAAATATGTTGTGTGAAGAGAAGTCCATGTCATAAGGGGCCCCATCAGTGTAAGTACCTGGATTCCAAATGATACAGAAGGCATGCCCTACCAATGCATACAAGAATGAGGTCCAGCCTTCCATTTCCAAATAAGTCTGGTGCAGTTTTCAGTTGTATTTGATGATAAAGCAGTTGAACTCGAGATGGATAAAATGCAACTGACAGTGTCCATTGTAATAGAAACAATATCATTCATTTTTTCTAATTTTCCAAACCAGATGTATTTTTTCCCCATCTTTTGGATGCCCTGTGTTTCTATTTCTCAAATTACATGGCAGTAGTTATTTTGCACTCATTTTTTTTCTGCATCACAACTTTTTCCTCATTTGGGGGGGTTCCCTATTTCTCCGCAATGCAGCATCTAATTGAAAATAATTAAGTAGTTGTTAAATTGACTTGCGCCCCTCTTCTCATGCTGGTTTATAGCAAGGATAAACAAGTTGACAATCAATTAAAAGAACTATGTATTGACTAACTATTGTGTGCCCAGCTCTATAGGAAATGCAGGAGAAAAGGCCTTCTTACCCTCAATATGCATACTAGCTGGACAATCGAAATCAACAAAAGAATGGCTAAACAAGATTTGATTTTAGGTGTCAGCTCATATATCAGTTATAATAAAGGATGACTTGTAAGCACAGGAAAATAAGTGCAAAAGCAAATTGAGAAGTGGTGAAAAAAAAATAAAGTAGACTTCACCAGAGAAGACTTCAAGGTGGAGATGAAATTAAAGCCAGGCCTTGACATATGGCATATATAGAGACAGAGAAAGAAGCTAACAGGTGAAGGAAGTTGCCATTCATTGAGAATCTATTACAGGCCAAGCTTTACTAAGTCAATGTGATTATACTTGTTTTACAGTTGAGAGATATGGGGCTTGGAGGAATTTAGTAACAAGTTTCCCACAGACAAACTTCCATTAAATAGTATAGATTGGATGCAAATCCAGGTCTATCTAACCCTAATGTTTGAGCATTCTTTACCATTATAGGAAAAGGAACTATAGAAAGAGTAATAAAGATGGGTGGTGGATACAGTTATATGATCTGCCTGGCAGTCAAAAGAACACATCCTAGACATCATTTATAGCAATTCTTTTGTTTTATAAAGTGTTTGTGATCTAGAGAGAATAGGAAATGAAGTTATATCAGCAGAACCTGCAAACAAGGCTAAGGAACACACTCAAGCTCTGGAGATGAGTATGGGATATTTTAAGATAATTTGTACAGTAAAGGATGAACATTTTTCTGTGGTATATGGCTCTTCAAATTCAGTCTACACATAATCTTCCACTCTCATAGGAGCTCTGAACATTTGCTGTCTCTGGGTTCAAGGGACCACCAGAATTTCTAAGCAAGGAAGAACATGCCAAATGAAGGTAAGTTGCAAAAAGAGGTATTTCCTTTGCCTTGAATACAGGGGTGCTATTCATGGCCCTAAATCTTACCAATACAGAGACCATAAACAGTTGGATTCTGGAAGTCCTTCATCAAGAAATGAATCAATATTTTTGGAGTACTGGCTACATGCAACACACTATGTTTATGAACCTACAAATCCACAATTATGAATATCATTTTTAAAAACTCTGCTTTATATAAACATACAGGTTAAGCATACAGGTTCTGGCAGCATACTCTGAGTTTCATATCTCCCCCTCTTCACTTACCAGCAATGTTACCTTGGGCAATTTACCTCTTTGGGCTTCAGTTTCCTGATATGTAGAATGAGAAAAATAATGCTACCTGTCTCACAGGGTTACTGTGAGGATTGATTTAGATTATCCAGGTAAAACTGTTAGACAATACCTGGAAACTACTAAGCACCAAATAAATGTCATGAGCTGAAGAGGCAGAGAGAGAGGATGCCAAGACTATTGCTGCTGGTTTTTGCACAACGGCTCAATTTTTAATTTCTACTTTGATTATCTGTATAATCACAGCAAGTCTTTGCAGAAACAAAAACAGATAGCTATTCATTTTTTGGATCTGATTCATCAGTGTATACTTTAGTAGTATTGTACTATAAAAATATGTTATAGGAAAGAGCATACTAAGCTAAAATTCTTCTGGTTCCTTTAATGAATTAAGCTACAGTGAACCATTCTATCATTCAGGACAGGCTAATATATGCTGTGGTAACAAACCCTAAAATTTCAGCAGCTTAACCCCTCCACACATACCTGTATACCTATGCACACACAGGCTTTGTGTTTTGGATAATCCTCCACTGGGTGGCTCAGGGACTCAGGGACTTAGGATACTTCCATTTTGCAATTCTCCCTCTAAGGATCTTCACTTCTAATATATAAAGGGAGAGAGAGAAAGAGAAAGGGAAAAGGAAAGGGAAGAAGAGAGGCAGGGAGAAAGAGGAAGAGCAAAAATATAGAAATTCCACCCACTTTGCACTGCCCTGGACTGCGAGTGAAATGTCGCTTTTACTCATGTTCCACCAGTAAGTATTAGTCACATAAACACACCTATATGTACAGATGCTAGGAAATGCAGAGGACTCATAAATAGTTGGTAACTAACATTCTCCTACATGTTACATCACAGCAAAATTGCTTAGTTTATAGTTAAAGGACTCTGAATTAGAACAGGCAAACAGCCTCATGGCCCACTGAGACCTCATTGTTTGGCCCTACTTATTGTAAATGGATATTCCTCTAATGGAATGGGCAGAATTGTAATATTTTAATGACTAAATCTGGAATACAGAAAAGGCCTTCAATAAAGACCTACTAAGACCCTTTAGTAAAGGCATCAAATCTGAAGTTATGATTAGATGTAAAATGAAATTTTAGCTGACATAGGAGGCAGACAGGAACTTCCTAGCATGTATTATGAGAAAAAAAACAAACAGAATTTTATGAAGAACCTGATAAAATGTTGAAAGTATTTTATTCTGTAAATGCAAAATGCTACTGTAAAAGATCATATATTAAGACAATTTGTAGGACCTAGATTCCTGCCTGCCCCAATCAGAGGAGACACTTCCTATATAACATTAGCTGCATGTAGAGTATCTCTCTAACCAGAATTTGACAAACTGAAGCAGAATTTGTCCTCATCCAGCTACCTGAACCATAACCTGTTGGTCAGCTACTTCTAATTGAAAAACTTCAAGAACGTTTTTTCAAAACTAGGTCTCTGGAATCAAGGGATTCATTATTATTATTACTTTTTACTTTCTTCTTTCAAAGATCTTATTAACTCCTGTTTTTTTCAAAGGCTCTATCAACTATACAAGTGGCATGTATTAAGTCATGATAATTTTAAATATTTTGTAAAGCAAATATGTATGTATATACATGTATGTGTAAAAGCTCTCTTAAAAGTCCACGAAACGATGAAACATAGCGCAAAAAGAAAGACTTACTGTGTCTCATGAAACTACATTACCTATTTGGGAAAAATAGGTAAACCTGAGCTACCCCCAAGCCACCACCACCACCATACATAAATGCTGAAGTTTTAGTTCTGGGAAAAGCCACTACTGATTAGGAAAAGTTGTTAAAAAAAATAAAAAATAAAAAAACTGAAGGATTTTGCTTTCGTATTTCTTCAGAGCATCCACCTGTAAGTTTTCACTTCACTTTAAAGAATTTGAAATTGATCATCATAAAGAATAGATCACTGGTATACTTTATACAAAAAGAGTTATACAGAATCTCAATCACTGGTCCCCCACTCAGAGTTTTAAATTTAAATAAAGTGCTTCAATAGATATTATTTTTAAGACTCTTGATTTTATTTATGTTTATAATAATTTGAACAACATTCAGTCCCAAATAAGTCAGGTAAGAAGACACTATACATGACTCTATAGCTGTTTCTGTCTTCAATCTAGAACACTATGAGCAAATCAACAGTACCACATTAAGTTGATGTCATTAAAACCAGAAGCAAGAAACTTGTCATCTAAGTCAGCATAGGCAGTTCTATCACAGGTAAACCTATAATTTCCATTAAGCTCTTAGAAATATTGTAAATAGCTCATGATCCTTTATTACTACCTTTGAGGCCCGGTTGAATTCTATGGTATAGCAATAGGGAATTTCCCAAATTGAGCTTTACTGATTTAGCACAGCAAAACACTATTACCCTATTAGCTTTTTAAAAATTAAAACATAAGCACATCTAAATTTAAATACAAATATATTTGCATTATGAGATTTACTTCTAAAAAAATATGTTGTGTGAAGAGAAGTCCATGTCATAAGGGGCCTCATCAGTGTAAGTACCTGGATTCCAAATGATACAGAAGGCATGCCCTACCAATGCATACAAGAATGAGGTCCAGCCTTCCATTTCCAAATAAGTCTGGTGCAGTTTTCAGTTGTATTTGATGATAAAGCTCCCACTTATAAGTGAGAAACACTATGGGTGAATATTATATAGTTTTATCAAGCAATAAACAAAGACATACATGTATATAAACATTTTATTTAATATACACACACGCATACCCACAGACACACATTCACACTCATATCCACATACATATATTCTTAGGTTGGGCTGCTCTAACAAAATGCCATAAAATGAGTGGCTTAAACACGAACATTTATTTCTCACAGTTCTGTAGGTTGAAAGTCCAAGATCAGAGTAAACAAGTACTTGGTTTACATACACCCATCTTCTTGCTTGTCCTCACCTGACAGAAAAAGAGCTTGCTAGCTCTTTGGCCTCTTCTTTTTTCTGGGGCGGCGGGGGGTGGGACAGAGTCTTGCTGTGCCAGGCCAGGCTGGAGTGCAATGGTGCAATCTCAGCTCACTGCAACCTCCGCCTCCCGGGTTCAAGCATTTCTCCTGCCTCAACTTCCCGAGTAGTGGAGACTACAGGTGCCTGCCACCACGCCCGGCTAATTTTTTGTATTTTTAGTGGAGACCTGGTTTCGCCGTGTTACCAGGATGGACTTGATCTCCTGACCTCATGATCCACCTGCTTCGGCCTCCCAAAGTGCTGGGATTACAGGCGTGAGCCACCATGCCCAGCCTGGCCTCTTCTTATAAATGCACTAGTCTCATTCATGAGAGTTCCACCCTCATGACCTAATCACCTCCCAAATACCCACCTCCAAATACCATCAGATTGGGATTGAGATTTTGACATATGAATTTGGGGGTGATACAAACATTGTTTATTACATATATATATACACACACAAACACACACACATATATATATATATGAATGTATATCCTTCTCAGGTGTATTTCTCTGTTGATCACCTCCTTGTTTTTTTTCTTTTTTTTTTTTCCTTCAACTTTTAAGTTCCGGGGTACATGTGCAGGTATGTTACATAGGTGAACGTGTGCCATGGTGGTTTGCTACACAGATCAACCGATCACCTACATATTAAACCCAGAATCCCTTAGCTATTCTTCCCAATGCTCTCCCTCCACCGACCCCCCACCCCCAACAAGCCCCAGTGTGTATTGTTCCCCACCATGTATCCACGTGTTCTCATCATTCAGCTCCCACTTATAAGTGAGAACATGCAGTGTATGGTTTTCTGTTCCTGTGTTAGTTTTCTGAGGAAAACAGCTTCTAGCAATTTCCGTGCCCCTGCAAAGAACATGATTCTGTTCCTTTTTATGGTTGCATAGTATTCTACGGTGTATATTACCACATTTTCTTTATGCAGTCTATCATTGATGGGCATTTGGGTTGATTTCATGTCTTTGCTATTGTGATTATTTCCTTTTTAAGGGATTAGTAAAATCTTCCAGCCATAGGTAAATAAAGGAGAAACCTCAATGCTGGATGAGCTCCAGTTCTCCTCAGGTTTACACTTACTTCTCAGGACTACACTTCCTGATGATACACTGGGCCTTAAAGTTAATGTTTGAGGCCTCTTGACCTAAAACAGGGAACTCAATTCCCTGGGAAATTATGTGTTTCATGTTATTTGTTTTTGTTTGTTTTCCCAATTCAAGCTTACAAGCCTTCCCAGTTGAAATTATATATATATATAAAACTCTGGGTCATTTTATACAGCCAGTCTTCGAAGATTGGGACTCACAGCTTCAAGGATACCATCTTAGCCGAATGGCCTCCCTGTGGTCTTGTTTTCCTTCCAGGCCCATCCACCATGGAGATTATATGAACTAGGCATTTTTTCCCTAGGCACTGTAGCATATATAAAGTGGAATAAGACACAGATCCTACTCTTCATAAACTCAAGAAATATTTATAGAGAGATAAACATACTTACAATTCAATATGATTGGTAAAGCAGTAATGGTACATATACAGTTACAGTATAGGAATACAATAAGGGTCAGGGAGAACCTAGGAAATCTTCACAAAGGCAGTGATGTTTGTTTTGTGCTTGGTATTAAAGGAAAATATAATTTCCTTACATAAGAAAGAGAAAAAAAAAGAAGAGCAAGTGGCTTTTAAGCAGAAGGAATACCATGAAAGAAAACAGGAGAGCCAGGCTGCAGAGTGTGGCCTCCCAGCCAGTACCATGTTCCTCACCCTGCATCGGGTCTTCATAACCTGTTCCCATTTTCAGACCTCACTAATCTTTCTGTTCTCTCTCACCCCTCCAGGTACAAAGGCCCTTCACTCTACGCTCATTGAACTCTGAGAGGGTCTATGCATCTGCCCCAGCAGATTTTGCAGAAATGTACAGTTTCAGGAGAGAATGTTAACTATTAAAAGAAAAACTGTCCAACAAGGAGTGAAAGATTCCATTCTCCGAGATGTTTTCCTATTTCCTCTTTAAAAAGAAAAAAACAACAACAAATTTACCCTTATGCCACAGCTGCAGGAAAAGTAATGAAATCAACTGTATTTAATATGCAAAAGCTGCGGCTTACATTACAACTGCTATAATATCGCCAATAAAGAACCTTCCAGAAAGTCATAATTAATATTTTCACTCCACAAAAAAAAATTTGAATATCTACTATGTCCCGTAACTATTTCTTGTCTGTTGCATAGATTTAAAGATCAGATTAATTTTAGACTGATTATTAGAGTGGTGGGAGCACATGTTGGACTATGTAGTGTGTTCCATACTAACTTGAATACAATTTTTTTAAATAGAGCATTTCAAGGTACTGACATTCCATAAAACACACTTTGGAAAATGCTGATCCATCCTGGATTTCTATCATTCATCTAATCATACAGACTCTACTTGACTATCCCCAGGGACAGCTCATATCATCAGAGGTAACTTACTTCATGGCTAGAAAGTAATCATTGATCATTACTGTTGGAAAGCTGCTGTCATGAGTAGTGTTGGTTTTAATAATAACAACAATAATAAATTTGACCCAAAATCTGCCACCTTGAATCATTTTCTCCTTTGTCCTTGCTCTGACCCCTATAGACCTTTAATGAATTAATAAAAAGAAACATTTGATATTATGGAAATAGTACATAAATTAGACAAACAGAAACTCTGAAGACACCAGCTATTGTACATTCAAACTGAAGCTGGAAAATCTGTGCATCATTTCTCTTTATTTCTCTTTACTCTATGACATTTGAAACCTACTTATTTCTTAAAGGAATCAGATATGGCTATTTAGCAGTGTTCTGTGCAAGTGTGCCATGCTAAGGGGTCGAACACTGCTGAGAGTCTAGAACTTGTTTTTCATAAGCTAAGGCTGAGTGGTCTTCTATCTAGCCATAAAGATTGATCTCTAAGAAACGAAGAGACATCTTCAGATTCTGTTTCCTGAAAAAAAAGTATGGTTTCACATTTGGTCTAAAAACAGACCCTTCCAACAAATATATTAGCATCATTAAAATGAAACACAAACTGCCAGCCTTCCTTGGAGACTCGAACTTAGCTATAGACATGGAGCTTGTACAAACAACCTGAAATATGCAACTTGCAGCTTCCAGTCATTACTAGTCAAACAGAATTTAATATATACTTAATGAATATCTCAAGAGAAAAAAAGGAGACACCCTCATTTTGCAGCTGTCATCAGCATTTGCTCCTGAATCATCCCAGTTTTTCCCTCCTGTAATAATCAAATAATTCTCTAGCCTTTCATGATTTTGCTGTACATATCTTTTTGGCTATCTAATTAACACTGTGATTTTTGTTCTACATATGTTGTGTAATAGTAGATTCTGTCCTATCCTCACCAAACATATTAAGCATAATAAATATACTTATGAGAATTACTTTGTATAGTCCTTATGCAATCAGCCATGCTGGGCATGATGGCCCAAGACGATGAAAGCCCATTGACTTTTTGTAGCAAATTAGTCTACCATCTAATCGGTGAACGCTGCTAAGCTTTTGAATTATGACAAGAACCAGCAGCTCAGTTAGAACACTCAAATGAATTATATCAATTCATAAACTTGTTCATGTCCAGATTTCATTAGCCACACATTAACAGCATTTTATGTTTATTACTGCTCTGACATAATCTATAAATAACTGAAATGCTAATCATAGTGTTCTGCCGGGCATCATCATTTAATCATAAAGAGATACATTATTATAAACTATAATAGATAATAACAAGTCTGGGTCAATGGCCACATATTAAAAGATCACAATTATATCCTATAAGGGTATGTACCTCATACATTTGGTGACACATAGGTCCATATCTAATCACTTGCAAATGTTTCCCCTCTGACATACTTATAGTACAAGGTGACACAATTAAGAAAATATGCTTATAAAACAGTACAATACTTGAACATCAAAGTAAGCAGAGAACAATTAATGGTGGGAGAAAACATCTTGCCAATGCCAATTTAATTAACTCTTTATTGGTAGGTTCGTGTTTCAGCAGAAAGGGAATTCATGTTCCCAGATATTCACTCCTAATAGCTAGGAGAACCAAAAGAAGAAAAAATATATATACAGCTAATCAAAATGTAACTAGGAAAGCTATTAAATAAAAGCAAAATTCAGTCACAATTGAGTTAAAAATTGTAAAGCAAAGCCTAACTACTGATTAGATCTTCCCCAAGTCCTATTAATGGTTTATTGCAAACTGTAACCTAGTAATCTTATATTACATTAGAAAATAATTTCATGTACAAATATTCACACTTCCTTGTGAGAGGTAATAACTTTCAAGCTCAGCAAAGCTACCAATTTTGAATGGCCCTCCTATTATTGTTCATGCCATGATGATGTCATCACTGTCGTGTTTTGACTAGTGATGACAGAGTGCTGATTAAGTTTGGATATTGATTTAACAAGATGATGGGGTCATTACCTTTGTAGCTTTTGTGATTCTCATGTTTTTGCTTCAGGAAAATATCCTGATGAAATACCAGCTGCTACACAAATAATTTCTAAAATAGATTATCAGCTGAAAGAGTTTTACATGAGAAACGAGGCTGACCCAGAGTCCAAGAATTAATGACAGATTATTAAACTAAAGTATTTCATACCAAAAATTAGCCACTAATTTAAAGCCTTAGTTGAACAGGACGTTGAGATGGAGTCTGTCATTGCCAGCACTTGCACCTCACAGCTCAGGGTGAACCGAGGGAGATAAAGAAAGGAATGTAAAACACTATGGAAACCAACCTCTGGAGACTTAATATTCTGATCAGCTCACCTCCGAACATCTGGCTCTTAAATGTTCAAGCACAAAAACAAGAGAGCTAATGAAAGCAGCACATATTATCTCTCCCATCAATGTACCTCACAAACACCTGCTAAAATTAAAACAAATTGAATCTTGATTGCTGATTAAGTACCCCTTCTTTAGCTAGATATTCTGTCATTATTTGCCCTGGCGCACAATGCATAAACTGATGAATGGCGAGTGGTGGGCTGTAGCAGCAAAGGTGGATAAAAGGCGATTCAAAGTAGATGAATATAAATGGTAGCAGATTAACTTTGTGTACTCTAACCCTGCAAAAAAAGCGAGTTTTCACCCCCACCCCAAGAATTAAAGGGACAAAATTGCATTTAAAATAGAAAGGTAAGTCCCTACATTATAATACTCCCCTCTCGCTCAACAAAGTTCATTGTCAGGCAGTCCTTGCTGCACTTAATTTACTCACCATAGCTTGGTGACTAAGCTTTAGCAGTACTCCTGACCTGTATTTCCAACTGCTTTTATTCTGCTTCTTAGCTGGTGCAAATACTTTATTTTTTAATTTGTGTTATTACTTATTTATTTTTGGATTTGCAAACCTTTCCAGACACAGGCCAGAAATACCAAAACCAGAACTTTCCAGCCACATTTGGTTTGTCCATATCTGAAACAATTACTTGGATTGTGGTTAAAAAAAAAAAAAAAAAAAAAAAAAGTTACACGATTTACTGCCAATAAACCAAGAGACCATTCAGCGTGCATACTTCAGTTAGAATAGAAATACCCATTTGAGTTTTCATCACACATATATAATACCTTCCTATGCAAACACTGATGACAGATGTGTGGCTAATCTACCATGTTAACTTCATTTGAGAAATTGTGGTTTTGTTCAAACTTTATTAGCTAAACTAGAATTGATTCTGATAAGTTTTAGCTCAATATTTTACCTGGTTCAAGTATATTTCCAGAACTCATATAACTCAACAGCTCCCCTGTATTTGCAATACATTCTCATAAATTTCCTGTGAAAATAATCAACTTGTATTTGCTTCAATGTCTTTTGATTGAAAAAAAAAAAAAGAGTGAGGTGAGAGAGAAATAACAGTGTGTAAATTCTTCTTAACACCACAACCTACACAGACTGGTTTTATTTATTTATTTTTGACTGACACAATAAGGTCATAACAGCACATATGTTTGGCATATGCATTTCAACATTGATGATTAGGCACTATCCAAAAAGTAGCTTCAAAATGATAGGTTACTCCAAGATCTCTTACAGGGCATTAAACAAAAGGAAAGAAATGTCCATGAATCACTTATTGTTCCTTGACTTTTTTTCTTATTGCATTCTAAATTATTTAAATATACTATTAGGCATCATATTGGAAAAAACAGATGTTTTCTAATTATGAACTGATTTTACAGTGTGATGGTGTCACATATTTAAATTACAAATACACATTTTTAGCATTCCAGCTGTGCTTTACAAGAGTTTAATTTGCTTCTTCTGATATGTCACATTGCACCTGCCTTTTTAAAACTCCTATAAATGTAAAACATTACTCAAACACAATTATTAAGACATGTTGAAGAATTCTAAAGATTTTGAACAGCTTATAGAAGATGAATTTTATATAAAGATTCAATAATGAATCTACCAAATGTGTCTTTGGAGTAACATTTACAAATATTTTTAGAGGAATATGAATTTGGGCTGATGATTTGTGTATGTATATATGGATGTGTGGTAATATATAGAATTTGATTTTATTTTTATAGCACCTTTCATATGAACTATATCTTCAAGCACAATCATACAAACATCAGTTTAAAATACTTGCTGTGTATTAACAACATGAAAATAAAAATTCAGCATCTATTAGGAACATAAAGGAGGCTTTCATTGCATGGGATGTAAGAATGTACTTTGCTCAGAGACTAAGCATTAGTTAAATTACCTACTATTCCTTCTCTCTTCAAGACCAACTCTATGATATAAACAGATTGATCAATTACTTCAGAAAAAAAATCTAAACCATTGAAAATTTAAATTGAGTTGTTCTGCAAAATCAATGACCAGAATCAATGGTAATGAACACATTTAAAAAAAATTTTTTTTGTATATACAGGATCTTACTACGTTGCCCAGGCTGGCCTCGAATTCCTGGCAGATCCATTTTTGCTAGATTGTCTTTATCTCATTGTGTGGCAGTCCTGGGAGCAGTTTAGTCCTGTGGGAAACATTCGACCCATATAAAGTTCAATAACAACACAGGGCTTAAATTATCATGTTCTGAGTGTTAAAACAAAGAAATTCACATACATATGTGAATGAAGATACATCCATGGACAAAAATACTAAAAACTAAATGGGTCTTAATATAAGGTGCTATAAAAAGTGGAAATGAACTATAAGCTTTATTTCTGGAATCCATGAAAATAATTTAAACTTTAAAATAAATAAATTCAGAGAAATTTATATGTAAAATATATATAAAAGAAGTATTTTTAGACTTCTTATACATATGCAAGGAGTATTTATTTCTTAGTATACTCCCTAGAAATAACAATTATTGTTTCAGAAATGTATATTCATATTTAAAATAACTAGGAGAGAATAGCTCAAGAGGAAATAAACCAGATATAACTTCTTCACCCAACTCTGTTGTTTCAAAAGAAAAAAAAGGAGAAGCTTTTCCTCAGCACTATTTTGAAAATTGACACGTTTAAGTGTTAGCGTGGAGTGTTTCCCCCCTTTTCCTCTTTTCACAATGATGGCTGAAAATAAACCATTTATAACCCTTTCAAATCTTAATATGGTTAAATGATTTATTCCTGTAAAAACTGACTTCACTGTCCTCAGAATAAAATATTCAAGACAAAGCCAATAAGAATGTACACACTGTGAAACTAGAACCCCCCTCACCTCATGTGAGAAGCTAACATAATGGTGAATTGACTTTTTTTAAAGAGAAGTCTGAAGATTAAATGAGGATGGTAAAAGTATTACGGTAATAAATTTTACTAGCAAACAAATAAAATCACATCGTAAAACCTTTCCCAAAAACAGGCTTTAACTGCAATGCATAATCATATATAAAAACCTAAAATGGAAATTTTTATCCATTAAAGTGTGAACAAGCTAATTCAGAATAAATAGGAGGGCATTTGGAACTATAAAGTGTTCAGCTAGCACTCTTACTGAACAAAGACCTTATTTTTATCATCAGCTTATTGACTGCAACGCAAGTGTTTCTGTCAAATACAGAACTTTCAAAACGATTCATCCATAAGTTTTATTTACCATAGATTTTAGTGGTCTGTCATAGTCAGACACTGCCTATCTTGTCCAGATTTCGTTTATGAGTCTCCACAGCCATCCATCCAGCTCTCTGGGTGACTACTGAGCAGTCCTTCTAGCTCTTAGTGCCCATCAACTTACTGTCCTTCAATTCTTTGATCTTCAGCCTCTGAGATCCAGGGAGCCACTTGTGTAGAGTAGGACAGGTACACTGGCAGTGAAATAACCCTTGACTCTTTGGTTCTGGTTACCAACTCTTATCTATATACCACTTCCCAAATCTTCCTCCTGGTTCAAGACTTGGCTCCATGTTTTCCACCACTTAAGTGTGGCCCATCTCCAGCTTGGAAGACACTAAGGTGCCTTTAGATTTCTACCAAATAGGGAGTCCAAGGAGTGAAGTGCAAGAGTCTCAGAGTAGTGGCCCCAATTGTGCTTTGATAAGGAGCCCTAGATTGAAGAGGTACAACAGCAGGCAATATTTAATTATTTCAGAAACTAACAACCAACATTAGATTCAGTCTGCCATAAAATGATAGTGACAGACCTCACTCTAAGTAGGAAAGTCTCCTGCAGTTGCAGAAGCAGCTGCTCTATTCTGAACAGGAAGAAGAATGTGAATTCAAAAGCTGCATGCATGAATGAGAGATATCTTTAAAAATGGCTCCCTCGGGATGCTCAAAACTGGAGAGTCTAAAGACAGTTTTCCTGAAATGTTATTCTCAACACACAGCTGAGACCTCAATGAACAGATTATTTGATTTAGGGAATAAGCAGGTTAATAAACGGAATTGCAAAGATCTTCTAAGTATCATCAGCCGACCCAAACTCCCAGAACCTTGGCTTCTTAACGCTCCCCGACAATTCCCCTTATACATTTCTTTTATTCATTATGCATGATAAGTTCTATAGATTCTCTAATATGAACACAATAATTGTGTCTAATATTCTCATACGAACGATGGTGAAGCCCCCACCCTTGGATCTCAGAGAAGGCTTGGGTTTGATCCTCTGTTAACTGCTTTCTACTGAAGATGTACTCCCTGCTCACTGTTTTATCTTCAGCCTGTGAGGTGCTTCTCTTTATGAATTATACCATGCTTCTGTATTATTATAGGGATTACTCAGGGGCATCTGATTCACCCTTCTCTTCACACTCTTGAAACACAGGGGGAACACAGATAAGTTGCAATAGTAGTGGAAACTAGATAAATTAATAGATAATCAGACCTCCTCCAGGAGAAGTAGCATGTAATCAAAGAATGAATAAAGCCCTGAGACAAGACAGTCAGGTTAGGGAAAAAAGAAAGTTGGAGATTCCCACTCACCTCTACTCTGTACCCCTTCCCAGCAACATGGTGGCCCTGCTGACCACAGAACCAGGAACTGAGTAGAAGCTGCTTTATTAAATAACCAGAGCTAATCCATTATCGTTGCACCACGCCATTCTCAACCCTTATTAATCCCTACTGTTATATGTTCTTTCATAGGTTATAATTTTAGAAAGGCACCATACGTATGGGTGGGACGGGTAGTGACACACTGAATCTGAGATAGAAATGTCTGAATCAATAAGAGCCTTGGAAGGGAGACGGTTTGGACATCACGGATTTTACGTTATTAGTTCTGGAATGAGAAAATCCAAATTGTTCAAAGTGAGATGACCAAAATAGATTAGAAAATCCCTCTCCAGTTCAAAAGAATGTTACTAGATAGATGACTACATGCCACTGGATATCTGGCCATCAGCTTAAGATTTAAATAGAAGATTCTAATAACGAGGAAAACATTAAGGTGTGCCAAACAGAATCTACTTACCCAGTATGGTATATTCACAAAGCCTGACATGAATAAAACACACCTCATTCTTAGATAAGCAAATAAAGATGACAACAGTTTATCATGAGATTCTCCAACATAAAAACAGAGTACATTTGTTCTCGGTTTACTTACCTAAAGGGAGAGAGGAAAGCATCATCTCAGTGTTCTTGATGAAATTTAAGAAAACTTGTCCTCAAAAGCAAGAGATGAATGATAAAAATTATCAGGAAACAGACTGGTTTGAAAAGAGTTGAGATGTATGTGTAGGTGATAAAGAAATTGAAAGAATAAAGAAAAGCTTGAGAGGGATCTAGAATTTTATTGTTGTAAATGAATCTGCATTAAAGAATTAATGCATAGATTGTGCTGAAAACATACGGTCAGTGACATAAAAGCCAATACTAGGTGCACATGCAGAGGGTACAGATAAAGGACAACAACAAAAACTGTGAGTCACAAGACAAATGCAGACACGAAACAGAGAATGGGAAGCCAACCTAAGGACAATCATTTAAAAGGGTGGCAGGAAAGTAAAAACATAATAATATCCTATTTATATCAAAAAGAAATGTGGGCTACTTACAAAAAAGTAAAAAAATTAAGCTGGTCTTATACTTCTGTTGAGCTGCATTCAATGCTGGGTGATAATGAAATAATATCTAAACAATTTTGTGGAATTAATTTGAGAATTCTATATGCAAACAATTGTGGGATATCTATAAAAGCAATACAAAGATAGTCTCTGATACACGAGAGCTCAGAAAGCATATTATCCATATACCGTTTTCTAAAAATAAAATTACTCAAAGGTATATTTAAGTTAACAGAGAATACTCAAAATTTTTACAAATGAAAAGAACAAAGTATTGTTATAATATAAATGATGGTAAATAAAAAATAATATCAATGATGATGTGTCTAAGGTGTTAAAATATTATTATGAATATGAATTAATATTTTATATAATGGCTCTTGCAAAAGAAGAAGCCTAATACTTAAAAAATCATTATTTAACTTTTATTATCTGGCTGTAACACCCCAGATTATATTAACACAAACTGTGAAGTACGTTTTTTTAAAAAGTAGTAAAAAGAGGTAATTTCCAATCCTACAAAGTGGCTAATCAAAAGCAGCTTTTTCTCCATGCTGGTAATTAGTGAAATATAGGCTTAAGAAGTGTTATTTTAATGTAAAGGTAATTGTTAGTGTTAAAAACAAATGCATACTTTATAAATAACTATGGGGAAGGGGAAGAAGATGCCAGGAAAGAAGGAACGAAAAAAGGGGGAGAAAGGAAGGAAAAAATCCATAAAGCAACAGAAAAGACAAACAAAACCAGGAGGTATGAAACATTTTAAACAAATGTGAGAAATACAATAGTCCTCGCTTATCCGAAGTGTTGCTTTCCATAGTTTCAGTTATCCATGACTGCCATTCAGAAATAAACAATTCGTAAGTTCTAAATTGTACATCACTCTGAAGAGCATGATGAAACCTGTGCTGTCTGACTCCATCCCGCTCAGAACTTGAATCATCCCTTTGTCCAGCACATTCACACTGTATAGACCACCACCCACTAGTCACTTAGAGGCCATTTCTATGAGTTAAATCAAAAAAGCATGGTATGTACAGGGTTTTGTACTATCTGCAGTTTCAGGCATCCACTGGAGGTCTTGGAACGTATGCCCTGCGGATAAGGGGGCACTACTGTAATATCAAATACATCAACGATGACATAAATGTGAATCTATAGAACTATTTTTAAAAGCAAACAAAAGATTTAAGTTTGGGGCAAATTATCTTGAATGTATGCTGCTAATAGAAACATAGCTAACACAAAAGGACAAAGAGATTAAAAAGGAGTATCACACAATCACAACAAAAACAAAGCAGGCATCACAACCATAATATCAGATACTGAAGAATTAGAATTAAAAAATTAAATGGAACAAAAGAATCATAATATAATAGGTAAAATCTGCCATGTAGTTACAATAATAACAACAGTAATGCCAACAATAAAATTTATTCTTTGAATGGTGTAGTATTTAAGTTTATAAAGGAAAAACTTCATTGTAGTGGAAGACATTAGGCTAAATTGAAATAAAGAAGTAAATGATTTAAAGAATTTAAGAAAATGGCAATAACGATCTACCATTTATCAAATGAGTACTATGTGCCAGGGACTGTGCTAAGCTATTTAACATGTAGCTCATTAAATCTTAATAACTCCTAAGGTTAGTGTATTGTCCTCACGCTCAGTTGAGAAACAGACCAAGACTTGAGTAATTTGCCCAACTCCACAGAACTGGTAGTGCCAAAGCCACGCTTCAAAACTATGTCTATCTGTCTCATAGAGGAACTAAAAACAGAACTCTAGAAAATGGCCAAACATAAACTAAATATACAAAAATGAATAATTTTCTTCTATATCTACAGTAACAGAATGGGGGGGAAGACATTTCTCAACATGCAATGAAAAAATAAAAAGAATTGTAATTAAAAACATAAAAACATGCAGGAACAAATGAATACTACAGCTCTTCACTGAAAAATCATAAAAGAACACATAAATAGACCTTTTATGTCTCAGACATAGAACAAATTTTTTATGTCTCAGACATAGAACAAATTTTGTAAGAATGTCAATTCTTCTCCATTTCATGGGTTTACTGCTATTACAATTAAAATCTTTGCATTTTTTCTTATACCGTCAAAGCGATTTTAGAGTTCCATTGAAGAAATATAAGACTCTCCCGAGTCTTGTGGTGTGTACATGGTGAGGGCAGAGAGCATGTCTATCTTGCCTAGTATCCCTAGCCCAGAGGAGAAACTCCATTTATTGAATAAGGACTAGCTAAAAAAATTTTGAAAAATATTCTATTTAATGTTTCTAACTAAATGAAACTAATGTTTCTAACATTCTAACTAATGAGTGAAAAGTTGTCTCAATAAAAGTTAGTATCTTTGATATAGAAAAAGATCCAAATTGATAGGAGAAACACAAAAAGTCTTTGATGGTTGCAAGGAAACAATTAGAAATAAAAACAATTTGTGTGTGGAAATGTCCTGTTATGGGTTATTAATAATAGTAAAAAATTTGTCCCTACCTAATGATAATGGAGCAGTAAAATTAATTATATCATGTCCATATAAAGAATAATATACAACCTTTTAATGTACTATTGAATATTTAATGGCTTTTAGTTTATTCATTCTACAAATGCTCATAATGTGATGGCAAGAGAAAAAGCAAAATGCAAGACTCTAAACTGATCAGTGCCTGTTTTTTAAAAAATATATAGATTACAGGCATACTAATAAAATACAGAAATAAATATATTAAAACATCAGCAGTAATTATATCTGGGTGTAGAATGTCTCATATTCTATTTTCTTATTTATATATTTCTAAATATTCCATATTTTCTACAATGAGTTTAAGTAATTCTCTAAAGGCTAGTTTATTCAAGGTAATAGAGCCAGATTACTAAAAGTGAAAATAAATCTGGCCTTACTTTCTATTTTGGTGTCTCCAAATTTCAGGGGATGTCAATTTCCATATGTTACAAAATCCTTGGAAAAATCTGATTTTCAATCTGTGGAACCAAAATAGGAGCCTTCTCCAAAAGTAATGTTTTCTACAGTCTCTCTTACACTCTTCACCTGAGACTCAAAACACAAAATTGAAAATATGTGTTTTAAAAAATGTGAGCAATTTAAGACAATTTTTAAAAACACGTCTTTTCCTCTCAATGCATGTGCACTAGATACAAAAAAGGTAGGTTTCATTGAGATAAAAACTAGGAAAAATGTCGAAGCACACAGAGATGCTAAAACATTAAAAAAAAAAAAAAGTAGCAACCAGTGGAAACAACTTCTCAACAAGATGATCAAAATGATGAAAACGACTAATTAACAACACAGTGCTTCGAAAAGATAGTATAATTTTAATGCCTTTGATGCTCCCTAATATTAAAAAAATAAGGATATTCAAGAATTACAGCAAAGCCTCTTATGAGTGTTTATTAACTAGAACACCATCCCTTGCTTTTGAGAATTGAACTAAAGATCATTTCACTGAATTAAACTGAATCACTTCTGGAAAATATCGGAGTGTTTGAGAAGAGAAACTAACAAAGTAAGTTTCGACTTGTGTCTGGAGTTTACGGCAAGAGAATAAATGATTTGAATTAAATATTCTGAATCCTTAGAAGAAAAGAGAAACATGTACAAGTAGTCTGAATACAGAAATGGTAACCTTTTAATAAGACTTTGTTAATCTATGTAAAGCTATATCCTCATTTCAATGCTTGTAGACAAGTCTTGATGCCAATGAGTTCATTTTAGGAATACTGTATATAACTTAACAAGTTGTCAGGTTTAAAATAGGAACATGCATTTTACTCATGAGTCTTTTCATTTGTAATGGATAAGAGGCATAGTGGCTTTTGAAGCTTCCAGATAAGAAAGCCTGGACCCAGGCTTTTAGGGACCGACTCTTGGTATGCACTCCCACGGACAGGAATTACCCTGGCAACAATCCCAATGGGATGGTCTACACTGGGAAATCTAATTTTACTCATCAGAGCCCTTATAGTTTGCCATTATAAGATTTGATGTGATTCTTACAACAGCTCTGAGACATAGAAAGGAAAGGCATTATTCTCATTTTGCATCTGAGGTCACCAAAGCTCAGAGGAGGCAACAATTTATAAGACTGTACAGCTCAGACCATGGGTAAGACTAGAACCTGGGTCTTAGGAGGACTTTTGTAGTATTCTTTCCACTAAATCATGCGGGTTTTCAAGGAAACAGGCTTCCAAATAAGGCCCCTCCTACTCTCCCTTGGGTAACTTTAATAAACTCAGTGTAAAACAAACAACAAATTGGCTGTTCCCAAGCAGATGGTGCTGCTCAGCTGCGGTTAAGCAAGGAGGCCTCCAACACGCCAAACTTTCGCAAACATTACTTACTTACTATTTTGTCATGCTGGTGAAGGCAGACAATTCACATTCAGCATCCTTATTATCATAGCATGGGCCACCGTCCAGCTAACTGCCCTGATGGAACAGGCCAGCTCACAAGGAAGGTGTGGGATGCAGCGAGGGACACTGTGCTGCCAGCAAGGCCTGCCCCAAAGGCAAAATCCGAAATCCAGACAGAATGGAAAAAGGCAACGGGGAGCCAACACCCGCCGGTATGTGGCAAACAGGTTACAGCTGTGCCATAAGGCAGTGGTGGTTATAAAATTTTGTAAAATTACAAAATTTTCATTTGGAACTTTTATGAAAATTCAATATTTAACATTTTATCCAATATTTGATTTCATTTTTCTTACCATAATTGAACTGAAAAACGTAATTCCTTTTTGTTCACTAAGCACCAGATAGCTATCTTTAAAACCCTGCTAGTATACTGTCATACCAGGCAAATATTATCATATTTTCTACGTCCTGAGGTGAAGAGGTTTGGAAAATACTGGCATAAAGGTTGCCCATCAGTTCTTGTGATGGTAGAACGATTAGTGGAGGAATCAGGGGGATTTGTGACGCTCACTTATTTATTAATTTACTAAATGATTAAATATATATTTTTGAGCACCTACTCTATGCCAGGCATAGTTCTCGATGCTGGAATATAGCAGAGAACAAAACTGCTGTTTAATCTTAAAGAATCTACATTCTGAATGGGGTAAACAGGGCAGTAAAAACATATACACACAATAGGAGATGGCTGTGAGTACCAAAAAGGAGATAAAGCAGGGTAAAAAGTGAGAATGTGGCTGAGAGGGGTGCTAATTGAAATGGAGTCAGTAGGGACACACTCCCTGAGCAGAGAATGGTGGGGACTGTGTTTAGGCAGAGGGAGCAGAAAGGGCAGAGCTCCCACAGTGGGATTTTCTTAAAGGTTCAAAGAACAGCAAGGAGGTCAGGATGGCCTGAGCTGAGAGAACAAGGAAGAATGTGTAAGAGCTAAAATCAGATTATAGGAGATCCAAGAAGACAGTCAGTGTCCAAAAAAATTGTAATGAGACTTTAAGGAGCAAGCTCAGCCAGACAGTTCTGATATAGCTGCAGGAGTCTGAACAAGACCATGAGCAGCCCTGCAGCACCACCTTAGACAGGCCTTTGTCTCTGCCTTGAACTGTTCCAGCATTTCCTAATTAGTCTTTCTCAGTCCAATCTTATCCCCTGGGGTAAAAACCATACCTCCAAAGGCTCCCCAAATATATACATGGCAGAGTGAAATTATCACACCTACAGGCCCTCCAACAATATGGAGCCATCCCATGTTCTGAGCCTGCTAGGCTGCTGCCTCTCTATTCTTGTGCATGCTAAACCGTAAGACGCTAGTCTATTTGCAGTTTCCAACCAGGCCATTTGAGTTGGATCCTGCAGGATGAACAGAGAATGAGAGAACACAGGATGTGCCCCAGGAGGAAGTAGCAAGAGGGCAGGCAAGGAGATGTGAGAGTGCCTGCCAGTTGGGGCATAAGAGTGAGCAGTTTAGGATGCAGCCTCAGCTGAGACAGAAAAGGCAGGATACCAACAGGTTCTGAAAGGCCACGTGACATTTAATAGGCAGTGATGGTAGTCAGAGGTTTGAAACCAGGAAGTAATGCCATCATATTACGGATTTAGGAAAAAAAAACTCCAGTGGCAACATGAAGAATGAGGTAGAGGAAGAGGAGCACTATTTCAGCATTTATTTAAATAACAGAAATTCACTTTTCATGCTTTTTGTATTTTCTGTTTAGTTTTGTTTTCTTATCTGGTCAAATTCTCAAGAGTCACAACAATGTTTCTGTGTGCACAATAGTCACTCAATGTTTGTTAACCAAAGTGAGTGAATAAATGAATGAATGTTGATATCTCATGGTGAACTTTTTTTTAAAGGAAAACCCAATCCAGGGATCAAATTTCCAGATATTCTGATGTCAGGATTATTTTAAAATAATCTTGTTTTACTGTGAACTCGGGTGTTCCACATAATTAACTTTTAAAATAGCTTAAGAGTTCATTTCCTAACAACCAAAAATATATACTTTCATTTCTATGAAATTCTTTCAAGACAACTTGTTTTTTTGCTTCCTCAAGGAGAAGCCACAGAATTGAATTTAGTTTTCTCTTCAAAGATGAGTGCTCATGGGCAGGCACCCACTGCAGCACACTGAGGTAATAGGGAGAAACAGAACAACATCACAATTTCAGGAGTCAGACAGACTACTGGATAACTCTGGTAGTGCCACTTACTAGCTGTGACAGTTTTGACAATTTACATCTCAGCCCGAATTTGCTCATCTATAAAATGGAAACACTGATACTTAGATGATATATGGAAAAGCACCTGACACATAGTGGGTGCCCCAGAGATCACATTTGCCAATATTAATGTAGTTACAAATTTTTCAGTGCTTAATATTTTCCACAAATATCAGGCTATCAGCTATCATTTCTTATGCCATTTGCCTAAATCCAACAGATCCTTCTTTCCTCAATCCTCCTTCTAATAAGCTATATCTAATCTTCTTTAAGTTATTACCAGATAATAAAGGTTTCTTAATAAGAATGGAGAAAGCAACAAGTGTCTGAATGAAGGAAGGCCCATGAACATCATGATTTGGATAAAAAGGTTTTGTGAGTGCACCCAAAATGCTCAGAAGCCCAGCTAGCTTACTTTCCAATTCCAAGTTGTGTCCTAAATTGTTAATACGACCAGAATCCAGTCCTCATTAGAACACTTGAGATGAGACTGTGAGAAGGGAGAAAGACACAAAGCCAAATTGTTTTAAGCAAATTATCTGTTAATAAAGGTACAGAGTTTTAGGCAAAAAAAAAAAAATTAACTCAATAACATTTTGAAATGAAAACTAAAATTTGAGGTAAGGAAAAACGCCAGGAGAAATTAAAGAGAAGAACAAAGCCCCTAGACAAAAATAAAGGACTTCAGTCACTGGGTAGGTAAGGGAAAAACAGAGGTCATTGGAAGTAATTTAGTGACTACTTATGGAATTACAATAAAGGTGACAAAAATCCCAGAATTTGTAAGGCAAATGTAAATATAAATATAAATCAATTACTGGCTTATTATTTCATTAAATTGGAGATGGAAAAGACCAATTCTTGAGTCACAGCGTTTGCCTCCTGGGGTCCTAGATAGCTTTCCCTGTCAAATTAAAATAAAAAAGATAAATAAACATGAGAAATTAAGAATGTCGAAGTGTATGAAGGGAAAAGGAAAGAAGGGGGGAAATGATGTTTCACAATTATTATCCAGGCTAAGAGAAACAAAATTACTTGATCATAAATTCAAGATAATCTGGTTTTCTTTATGAGTTCCCATTTTATTAATGAAAGAAAGGTAACACCTTATTGTACCCGGGTGAATTAAAATGCCTATTTGAAGAAGCAATCCTCCACAGGGGTCTTTAATAGAATCTGTGAATGGTTCTAGAGCCAGATAATTTAGCTGTAAAAAGGCAATATTAATATTAACCTCTCCATGTGCACAGACCTACCTTGAGGGGCACAGGGAAAGGGAAATGTTAACAGAATCAACCAAGCACACCGTTTCTTTTCTTTTTTCTTTTTCTTTCTTTCTTTTTTTTTTTTTTTAGAAAATCAGAACTATTTCAGGGGCAAAAATGGAATAAACCTCTTCTACAAAATTACTTGCAACATGCACTGTTATCCTTTTATTCCTCTTGCTCCTCACAACACTGACCAGCAATTCAGCACTTTCAGGGCTGCTCACGTTATTTTCTGACTTCATATTCCGGGGGTATGACTTGCAAGGAGTCTAATAGCAAAGCATTTAATCGAAATAAACGGAATAGAAAATGAACTTCCAAATGCAGAACAGTCGCAACAGGAGCCATGACAACCCATTTCCAAATTAGATGCAGGTGCTTGGTAGGGCCCCCGGAGAGTATGACTTAATAAAGTAAAAAAAGATAATTCGAGGGAAGAGGCAAATGTACTTTAATTGAACAACTGGTCAGTTGGTGGGAAACATAGATATAGATATAACAAATGGCTCTTCTTTTTGCTCCAGACTTGCAGTTAACTTTTTATAGAAATGTCAACACATTTCACTCTCTCTCTTTATAGCTCCCATCACCAATCCCCCTCTACCCGCGTCATCATTTTCCAGATTATTGCAAACCTCCTAGCGTCACTGTCACCAAACCCTTCCAGTCCATCCTGGGTAGCCCAGCTGGATTTCTCTTCCTGTTGCCCTACCCTATGTCAATCTCCTACTCAACCACCTGCAACTGCTCATTATTACTTGCTAAACTCCCACTAGCTACCATATATGATCTTGTGTGATAAGGACTCAACCAGCCATCTAACCCATCAATCCTCCCACATCGATTACTCTAAGGTGTATGATTTGCTATTTCCCAAATGTCTCCATGCTCTTCCTAACCCAGTTACACTTTTCTAACATCTACATTACCTCTATTATCCCCATCTCCGCAAATTAAAATCCTACGAGTTCTTCAATTTCTAGTTCAAATGCCATCACTTCCACGATGCTCTCCCCTAATTATTCAGCAAAGAAGCAGGCTCTCCAAACTCACATAGCTTTTTGAATGATACTTATCAAATTCCACCTATATTATAACAATTATTTATAAATGTAGCTATCTCCCTCCTCCTCTTACTAAGACTAATTCTTAGAAGAAGCAGTTTAGACTTGTAGGAAAAATAGGCTTTTCAGACGAACAAAGCAAAGAGTGATATCAACATGTTTTCCCAACTAGCTGTACAAACTTAGGCAAGAAATCAGCCTCCCTAAATTGTTTGCCCAACTGTAAAATGGGTGATAATAATGTCTGCCTTAATTCATGCTATAAGGTTGAATAACACTATATGTGAAGTGCTAGCACAATGCCAGACATATACTAAGCTCAGTAAATGACAGCTAATATTTCTGTTCAAAGCAGACACTGCTTATTATTAATCTTTGTGTTTGACAGAACAAATAACAATTAGCATGCTTTTTAAGTAATTATTGAACAAATGTATGTTGAATGAAAGAATAAATGAATGAGTTAATGATCCAAAGATTATTTCTGATCTCACTGAACACTCTCAAGCATTAGTAGATGATTAGAAGTCTTACTACAGGTGGAATATGTCCATCACATTTTTTTTTCCTTTGAAAACACCATTACCACTACCAACTTTAATCCTGGGGAACTAGAAGAAGAGAAATAAGCAACTAGAATAACCAGTCCAATGAAGTAGTGCTGAGATCCTGGATAATCTAGAAGAACAATCCATCTAAAAACATTTAAATGTGATTTTCCAATGTGGATTTGGTATTTGTATTTAACTGGGAAATAATTTATTATTTTAGAAATCACAAGTCATCTAGTTAAATTGTTACAGATGACTTTCTGCTTAAAACTATTTCCTCTTCCTTTCTCCCTAAGAGAAACAGCCTTCCCTCATGAATAGAAGCAAGGCATCCACTTAATAGTAGTTATTTTTTTTGCTGTGGATATTTACTTAGTTGTATATTTTACAACATCTCAATGTTGAGGGGAAGGTAATTGTAGTAGACTGCATTTTCCATAAATGACTACAGTGATATTTGAAGTCCTACATGTTCTTTTGGAACCTCCTCATTCCCCATGAATTGCCTTGAATTTGGGTAGGCTCAGAATAATTGAGTGGGTGGAAGTGATGTTATGTGACTGCTGAAGTCAAAAAAAATACAGCTTCTGCCTACCTCTCTCTCATCATGTTATGAGGAAACCCAGACTACATGGAGAGGTCAAACATAGTTCTTCTGGTCAACTGTCCCAGTTAAGTTTCAGCCTACAGTCAGCATCGACTTCCAGGAATGTCAGTGAGAAAACTTCAAATGACTACAGTCTCCAGCTTTCAAGATTCCAGGTGAGGACCCAGAGACTGTAAATCAGAGACAGGTTGTCCCCACCATGTCTTGGCTGAATCCCTGACCCACAGAATCAATTAACCTAATAAGTAAATTTCTTTTTGTCAGTGAATCTAGGAATAATTTGTTATATAGTCATAGCAACTGGAACAATAATTAGGTATCTTCTTGTTTTTTAAGTGTAGGTTGTAGGTTTTATGAGTAGAAAAACATGAAAAGGAACAATAGGCAGTTGAATAAGTTATTTTAAACCCTTAGTCTGATAGATTAGTACATAAAAATGTTGCAAGCCCATCCCTGGATAGTCAAAACTTAGCTGTAATAACTGGAGAAGTTAATGAGGTTTCACTCTATATACTATTTACCAGGAAGCCCAAAAGAGACAAATGGACAGCAGTATCTGACCCAGTAAACCAGCAGCATGCAGAGTTAATCCAGTAACGGTAATAATTTAGCAAGTGTCAAAAAAAAGTCCATTTTTTTGTCTTTCTGACAGTTTGGAATTGCTTTTTCAAGCAAAGTGGGATTATCATTAGGAATTTTTTCACTTCTTTCTTGTTTCATTGTCTAGCATGAAACCTCATTTTATTATAGCATGTGAGAAATCTTGACTATTAGATAAAAATCTGAAAATATTAGTGGTACTTGTCCATCCTAAAGACTGCACCCATGTCTAGAAGGAATATTATTAAGGCTTTATCTTTTTCCAGTTTCTATGGACCAAAAGGTCCATAAAATATTATTGCCGTTACACAGATGAGACAAGTGAAGGCCAGAAGAATTCAGAATCTTACCAGGTCATACAGCTACTAGGAGCAAAGGACTAAAATTCTAAGCCACTTCCTTCTGTTGCAAGTTCTTTCGGCTAATGATACTACCTCTCAACAGAAGATTGAATATTAATTCTATGTAAACAAGAGTGTGAACTTCCTTAGTTTTCTAATAATAAATCAAATAAAATTGGTCAGTGTGAACTTTTCCTCCTCTGAAGGTATATGGAATGTTATTTTCGTATCACAGATTTGCAGCAAGAAAACAAAGGGAGACCACTATTCCTTTACAAAAGGGCTGGAAGAAGTTAACCTCTCAACTTCCAACTCCTACAGTGAACAACTGGAGCAGGTGCCATCTCTAGATGGTTTGTAGAGTAAGGTTAAAATAAGTGGGGTTTTTTTCATTATTTTATTTTATTTTTTTAGTCTATTTGTGTCAGTCTTTCTGTTCTAATTTGTTACCAGGATTAATCAAAACAGAATCTTCTATTTACGCTCTGATAAGTCTAATATTTTATCTGGTTTCTTGCATTCAAGAAAAAGTAAAAGAGAAGAGAAGAGGAAAGTCATCTGTGGTCTGTTGTTTTCCCAAGGCTTCATGAAATTCATTAAGCCCTCACTGATGTTTTCATTTACTTTTAGACAATATTTCTCCATGCCTGGGAAGGGAAATACTTGCTGGCTGACTACAGGTTGACTATATACATAAAACCTGTAAATCACAAAGGATCTAAATACTTGCTACAGTTTTTCAATGCTCTAGACTTGAACAGAAAGAAAGCTTTAATGGAAAGAGGGAAAAGAAACTACCATTTCAAGTAAATTAAAATCAACCTCCAGGCAAAAGGACTATACCTGCAAAATAACTTTCCTTCTAGTATGAAATTTAGAATAAAGGAACAGAAGGAGCCCATTTCTAAAAGCAACGGTTTCCAATCCGTTCATTTACCACTCACTAAAATTCAAAAGTCAGTTCATTGTAGAATCCAGTCATTACACGCATAATATCAGGCTTTAACAAATTGAGATTTCTTTTATGAATTTGTTCCTCTATGCTGGAAAAAAATAGCACTGGGTGAAAAAGCCACTCAGAAATTTAAGAGAAGACAGAATTACCCAAGAACATAAGCTTAGATTCTGATGATACAAATGTATTTCAGAAAACTCCATTTCCACACAAACCTATTTAACAATTCTTTAATAATTGAGCAATTACTGAAGCCCCAATACTCTTTGGATGTGCACCAAGTCAGTGAAAGTTGAGTAAGCTGAAATCTGTGGCAGATCTCCTGGTATGATGAGAGAAGGGTCTTATGCCCTTGTTAATTAGACAACACTGCAGAAAGGAACAATACAGAGGAGAAAACGTATGCTAAGTTCATGACTTTATCATTAAACCCCTGCTTACCCAACAAGCACAATGGCACACAGGGAAGCTGAGCTAGAGCTCTCTGCTCCTGAATCCCCCTCACTTTGCCTTCCAGCCTAAAGGCCCATTTTGAAACCTCGAAAGCCTACAAAGCTCTTCTGGGGGCAGTGGGTGGGGTATTGGGCAGGGACAATGTTAACCAGTTACCCAATAGCTGTGATCTTTAAACAGCTCACCCTGACAACAGCCTCTTGTAGATTTTGATGGGAAAGTTTTCAAAATTCCCCAATGTCTGCATCAAGTTGTAAACTGAAGCAGTAGGAGACATTCTTCTGGCTTCTTTAGACAAGGTTGAAGCAGCCTGAAAATACTCAGATGGTGGTCGTTTGGAATGTGGTGGGAAAACCTTTTCTCACCAGTAGGATAACCTGTCAGCCATAACAACAATGCAGGCACTGTTTGCAGCTGAGTAACTCACTTCCTGGAAGGCACTGACCACATTTTCTTTTCCTCTTAAAGCAAATAAATGAATTAAATGGTTTAAACACATTTTGCCAGCAAATAGAAAGATTATTTAATACTTTTGGGTAAAAAAATTTTGTCCTCTAAATTTAGCAGCTTTGCCTGTATTTCTCAGACACTCAGAAGGGGTTGCGGGGAAGAAGCCTCCAAGAATATACTTCAGAAACATTTTTTTCCAAATGTATTTTGCCTGAAGTCTCGGGCTAAAAGAATCTTCCTCTTCAAGAAAGGGTCAGTGTGGAAGCACTCTGCTGCTCACAGGTTCCCACCTTGATGATAGAAGGTTCTATAGCCACAAAGCTCTCCAAGAGAGGCCTTGACTCACTGCCATTGGAGAGGACAACAGGAAGTGTGCAGCCTTTTGCTTTTCTAAGAAGATAAACACAGATAGAACCTCTTTGGGTGGCAAGATAGTTTCATTATGAAACTTACCTTCTCCATAAAGCTGTTGTAGTAAATTAATATGCATCCATTTTAAAATGACATAGGAAGTACTTAACACTTGTTTGCTAATAACTTTAGTGACGAGAGCAGTATCATCATTCTCAGTATAGGGATGAGGAACTGAGAAAGTACAAGACCATTGCCTTATAATAGGTACACAACTAAGAGAATGGTATAGAAACCTATTATCCCTTGGTTCCTGGCTAATCCTCTCCAATAGATAATTTGGCATATTTTCTATTTCCTGACCCTTCTCTTTGTTTTTAACAACACTTCCAGCAATCTGAAACAAGACTCATTGCCTCAATGTTAGCAGGTCATCACAACTTGGTAGGAGAAAGGGTTGAAGTAAACAGTAAAGCAGTGGTTAATAGGTTCTGTCTGAATTTATCACCACCCTTGATTAGCATATGCAATAGAAAATTATATAAGGCTGGTTGTACTAGTTCTTCATTGATTTAATTTAATTTGACTAACAAAGGTTATGGGTCCTTAGGGCCTTATAGATTAATAAAAGATAAATATATCATCCATCATATCCCATTCTAGGATAGCTATTTTTGATAAGTAATTCAGGTATTAAAAAGAAAGCAGCAAGCCTCCTCCTGGAAAACATAAATGAACATTTTAAATGTACTGGCCAAGATAGATACAAAAATGAAAAACAAAGATTTCATCTGTTTGTATTGAGCATACATCCTAAATGGCCTACGCACCAATATTATAAGCATCTGTGATCAACCTAGGTGACAGAGGGCAAGTCATTCAGCCTCACCTCTAGGTTCCATCTTTACCTAATAAGTGCCACCCTTCTCACAGCCTTGTCTAATGCTACCTCCTCCTCAGAATTAATTCCTGACATTCTGGTTAGAAGGAATTTATTCCTCATCTTTCACTTCTGAAGAAGATATTGCCATTGACATTCACGTAACACTCATTTCGCTGCATCTTGTATGGTATTTATGTGTATATGTTTTATCACCCAATGTAGCCTAGAAAAAGCAAACAAAGTAACAAGAATCTTGAAATAAAGCACTTCAAATATTAGGGGTGGACTTCCATTTCATGTTCTTAAGCA
Organism: Homo sapiens; assembly: GCF_000001405.40. Taxonomy (NCBI): domain Eukaryota; kingdom Metazoa; phylum Chordata; class Mammalia; order Primates; family Hominidae; genus Homo; species Homo sapiens. The sequence continues at coordinate 58,700,882 of NC_000002.12, read as the reverse complement.
AGTTGCTTAACCTCCCCATGACTTAGTTTCTTCACTTGAATAATGAGGGTATTACTCACCTCCTCTAGTGTATGTAAAGATTGAACAAGCTACAAATGCATCAAGTGCTGTGCAGGGGCACTGACACATAGGAGACTGTCAGTGAGTGTTGGTTTCTCCCTCTTTCTCATAAGATTTCAAACTCCCAGAATGGGATCATATCTTACATGACAGCACAGTCTTGAAAGAGGCAGTCACTTCAAATATTTGTGGAACTCGTATTTTGAATAATAATAAGAGAAGTATAAAAAGGTAGAAGGCTAAAATAACAAGTGCAATGGGAACTAATATTTGGACATATGATAGTCTTGTTTATTTCAGAAAATATGAGTCAATGATTCCTGGTGGCTGCTGGAGAAGAGGAAAATGATAGTTCCACATTGGATAGAGGTTATAGTGCAAGCATTTGACATGGATGGTGAATGACGTGGAAGGATAAGAGAGATAAAATAGCAGGAAAACAGTGCCTAGGTAAAGAATGGGGGACATGGCAAGGAGAGCTAGTATTTGAACATGACAAAAAGTTAAAATATCCCATGTGTATTGTATTTCCTTTGAAGAAGATACTCTAATTTATTCTGAAAAATTTAAAACATTAAAAGGTGCCAAAAAAATCATTGGAAAATTGTGTAATGACTTACAACCCTCATGATCAGATAATATCTTATAAACTAAAAACACAAAGAGCTTTATGCAAACCCAAAATTTGGCTAGGGGAGGTCTCAAATCACTGAAAATTAAAATATACTAGCCATACTACATCTTCCCTAAAAGATTAATGGTACAAGATTAAGAATTGTTTCCAGCTCAATAAATAAACAAATATAAAACTTGAAAGACACACACCATTGCAATCCTTTTTAAATTTGGAAAAGGGAAGAATAGCTGAAGAGCTTGGAAAGACAAGCTCATGAAATATGTCAGTGACAAAACCAAATAAAGACTATTTCCTCATATCTGGATCCCATCTAAAAATGCACTTATGGAACATTTCAGTGTTTTACTGGATTCTTTTATAATGACACCCTCTATATGTCATGTTTTGTCCCCACCACCTCCATTTACAAAAAAAAAAAAAGCACACTGATAAACACCCATTCAACTCACCCCTAAACATCCCACATGTTAATTTCTCAACAACACAAATTTAATTCATCTCAACATTATTCTCCTGTGGTGCGTACCCCTCCATATAAACAAGATGGGGATTCGTTGCCATGGTAACAGAGTGTGACTTTGATCAGCTCCAATGATCATTGGCAGTCACATGCCTTTGATAGATACCAAATTGTGAGTAAGTTTTGATTATCCAATTTTTCAATCTCTGATTCTGCAAGAGGCTACTCCTATGTGCCAGAGGGGGTTGAGAAAAAAGAAAGAAAACAAAAAACTATAAGACAGATGCACTTTTTGAGACGACAGAAACATATGCTGGGTGAATGGAAAATCAGTGAAGTAGTGAGAACCTTAAGAATGACTTTAGTTCACCTTCTGTATAATTTGGTACATGTGCCCTGCCCAGCCACCAGGAAGGGGAGGCTGTTTCCCTTTTCCTTTCATGGCAGATGTAGGTGATATTTAAGGTTGTGTGTGCAGGTGTTTTGGGGGTTGATTTGTGTGGGAAGAGGAGAGGTGGTAGCCTGTAGCTTGACAGAAGAAGAAGAAAAAAAATCTGAACAATGTGTTGAAAAAGACTACAGTCTGAGCTGCACAGGACCAGCTGTTTTTGCTAATTAGAATAACAAAAATAGCACATGCTAAAATGTTTTTCTTTTTTTCTCAAAAGCAATGAATGCTCTAGGAACTATAAGGAATGAGCTTTAAAATCCATTTAAATGGAGGAACATTTCAGGAACCATATGGGGAAGGAACTGAAAGGGAGAAGGAGAGTAGGGAAATAACATTTGATTTTCGACAGAAATTTTTTGACGAATGATAAATTGGGGCTACTTTTTTCTTAACATTTAATAGGAAATGTTTTCATCATATCTAGATTTCACAAAAATGCCACTGCTTCCTTATTTTGCAGGAATAAGGGATGTAAGCACCATGCCCACTCCAAACCAAGGGAGGACAGGCACTGAAGAGAGCTGCATATGTTCTATCATACATATTGCATGTCTCATCTCCTTTGTCACGTTTTCTCTGAAGCAGTTAAGAGTAATTCAAAAACTTTGAATATAGGAATAACATTTGTGACAACGACAACATTCTGGACATCTGCACTGTTAGAGTACTTATAATAAAGTCACATGGCCATGGGGAAATTTCACAGAATTACAATCACAGTAATTTGCCAAGGTGTATAACTAGTTTGTTTTCAGCTGTTCTTCTCATGAATAATTATCAAGCAGGAATATCCTAAAGCTAGCACAAGCTGTCACTTAACCAAAATATTCAATATTTAACATCGAATTTAGAATTTCATAAATGAAAATAATTACTGTAAAAGCAAAATAATATACAGTGTGTATATTTGCATGCTGAAATGCATCACAGCTACATGTTAAAATTCAGATTCCAAAGCATCCTTATCAAATGAAAGCATGTCTTGAAAGTTGAGGAGGAATATAAGAGATCTAAGCACAACTAAATCTCAGCCATTTTCAAGTACAGCTAGGTCTTCAGCACTTTAAGAACTGCCTCTCAGTGCAAAGTGGAAAATGAAAACCAGCTCCTGCATATTGATTGTAGCTGATTACAATTGTGTTAGAATCTTTATTAGAGTTTTTTAAATGTTTGGAAACAAATACTATATAATGGTTAACAAGTTATGTTTTTAAATTAGTACAAGTGCATCACTAAACATTTTAGCATTAATTTCTAGAGTGACTATCTCAATTCACTAAAGTATTTTTTTAAAAATCTTTACCTTAAAGTAAGAATGTGAGAAAAATGTTATTTCTTGTAATGCATGCCAAGTTATTAAATCTGGTACATATATACATACATATATGTATATATGATTTCTAGCACCTCTAAAAATTATTTGACTAGAGCAAATGGAGATTTCTTTCTCAATTTCAAAAACCTATAAATGTATTATGGGTTTATAAGATGGGTACTTGAAGTTGTTTGAGCAATTCTAGCATGTATTAATTTTTTTGTTTTATTCTTTACTCCCCCATTAGTGGAAAACTTCTCAATAATACCGCTTAAGAATATATATGTATTTTTCAACTGAATAAAAGATAAATGATTTTGGAAAAGAAACTCAAACATGAGAAGAAAATCTACCTAACTAAATTGTGAGTAATAGGTAGAAATTCCTTTGAGGGATAAATAATACTTTCATTTGGATAATGCCATTTGATTCTCTGAACAGAATATTACTTTCCCAAAAACTTGAGGGAAATAATTCTACTTTGTCTCTCTTATGGTTTACTTTAGTAATACCTATTTGAAACATATTTAAAAACATATTCATTGGACCTAGGATTTATTACAAGTATAACAAAGGTAGAAAATGGCTTTCTTGTAACTTGCAAATTATCATTAGTTTTCAGATAGTTAGTTGACTCTTTTTGAGCAAGAAAGCAGATAATTCTAGTGGAAAGAATATTTGATTGAAAATCAAAAATAGGACTCATTATCCAACCAGATCTCTCAGGGATTCCTCAAGATTTATGCCAAATCCATTTATGCATTAGTTTTCCCATCACTAGGAATGTGACTATTTTGCGTCACAAAAAATATATTAGTACCACTAAAAATAGAGTGTGAAAATGAATATATTTATTTGATCATAGTCTAAACACACGAATGATAAACTAAGGCAAGCTAAAGTTTGATCTACAGATGCTGAAAACAGAAATGGTTTATTTATTATGTACCTATTACTTTGACCATTGCATCTCACATATACTTGAACATAATTGGAAGACCAGAAGAACCAAACAATCTTCAAATTCTACATTCTTCTTCCCTCATCCTCTCTCTCTCCAGTTTAGACTCATAAACTTGTCACTTTCCCTCCATCCCTGCTGCTGCTGTTTGACTTCATTTCCCCATCTCACTTGCCTAGATAATTTTAACTGCTCTAGTATCAGATCTTCCTGCCATCCATCATTCCCAGCACCTGTCCACTATCCACACAAATAAGGGCCTCATAAACCTCTTCAGCTTAATTGCCTACAACCTATCATGACTTCCTGATCTCATGATGCACTCTCATGTCACTATGCTTTTCTTTCTGCCAAGGATCCCCTGGCCCCTCAACCCAGCTTCTAAATATCCAGTGATACCCCAAGATTCACTGAAGTTTCATATTCTCCAGTAGCCTTTCCAATTTCCCAAGGACAAACGTAGTCTTGACTCTGGTGTACTATAGACCTTTCAACCCAACTCTGTTATAGTCCTAATCATACTACTCTGAAGCAAAAGACATTTTTTATTCTACTTAGTATTGGGCATTTTTTTAAAGTCTGGCATACAGGAGGGATTGAATTTAATTGATCTCAAGGAAAATTGGTCTAAGAGTTTGTTGGAATGAGTAAATGAAAGTACTCCCAACAAAGGCATTCATTATTTATAACCATTAAATGTAGATAATAAAAGACTTCTGGTACAAAATGGCATCTGGCTACCATCCCCTGGGCACTGCCTCTCCCAGTTGTCAATATCATACATATCAAAATGGAAAACTTTAACACAGAAAACTAGGAGTGACAGGAAATCCAGAGCTACAAATTTGGGAAAAACTTAGACCAATTATAAGGTTGATGAGTCAAGAATGAGAAAATATCCAGTAGCCTATCCAAGTATCACTTCACAAAACAGAAAAGTCCACGTCCTTGAAAGAGGAGCAGGTATCTTTTTTTCTTCTCCTATTATCTGCTGCACAGCTCAGCTCAGAGATTTGGACCCTGTAGTAAACAGGAAACTGAAAAGGGATTCTGTTCAACATGGGTGTTAATTTTCAGATGGATAGAATATTATATTCCCTTCCTATCCACTAATATTTCTGTGCTATTCAGATAGAGAAACTCCCAGAAAATAAAAGGGTGGAAGAATAATTACAGCACACTACATCCTGGGAGACGCTGTACCCACAAATAAAATGTGGAAGAAAGAACTGGAAGAGTATTGCTCCAAATGTCTCTTGAAGGCTGTAGTTTCAATTAATTCCATCTCTTGTAGTGGGTGGTGGGAGTGGTGGAAGATTTCATCGCAGTAATGCAAGACCACAGTATGTAAATGATCCCTGGTCCCTGGAAATTAGAAAGGAAGGTGAACACATCAACTTACCCAATAGTATGTGGGAAAAGGTGCAAGGAGGACAAATTAACAACAATGAATTGGAAAAAGTTGTTATTTGAGTGAATGTAAATAAACAAGAGACCTGTGGTTACATATGGCTATAAGCAAAGAGTACCATTTAGAAGTTTTCGATATTTCTTGGTTTTATAGGAATCAGGAAAACAACTTTAGAAAACTCTTGGGCATCCTCAAGATGTCATAAAGAAAGAACAATCTGAGGTGAAAGGAAAATAGATTGGAAAGAAAAGACTACTAATACTCAAATTAAAATTTAATTTGCAAATTTAAATTTTGGAAAGTTAGAATATAAATCTTAGCGATGAACCCTGAAATAAATAAACATAAGTATTAGGCCTAAATACCAATCATAAATACATTTTCAAATCTAATTTCAAATGTCAAAAATAAATCTTGTAAAAGAATAGATCTGAAGCAAAAATAATTTAATAATATCAAGCTGATTCTGAGTCCAGCACCACTTTTCATATAAATAAGAGGGACTGGGAGGTTTGGGAGCAGGGAATGTCAACACTTTCCTTGTGAATAAACAAAAGTTATTGTTTCTTAACTTTCATATAAAAAAATAGAGGCTGGATATTTTGGAAAGTGAGTGGAATAAATATTCAGATTCTTACTTTCCTAATCAATAGAAAACATGAAAGCATAGACCATTCAAAAACAATCACCAAAACAAAGGTAGCAAAAAATTTAAAAATACAAAAATTGAAGGAAAAGAAATAAAACATAAAAGGGAGATAAATACACACAAGGAAAAGAGAGAAACTCAAACATCAGTTTTGAAAAACTCAGAAATAGCAGAAAGTCTACCAGAAGATTGAGTAAAAAGACACATTCAATGTGCTGCTACTATAATATCTCTAATTTAAAAGTGCACATACATGTTTAAAATGAAAGAATGACTAGAGATTTCTCAACCAAGTACAAATTAATTTTTTTATACTTTAAGTTATGGGAAACGTGCAGAATGCCCACGATTGTTACATAGGTATACACGTGCCATGGTGCTTTGCTGCACCCATCAACCTGTCATCTACATTAGGTATTTCTCCTAATGCTATCCTTCCCCTAGCCCCCCACCCCCTGACAAGGCCCAATGTGTGATGTACCCCTCCCTGTGTCCATGTGTTTTCATAGTTCAACTCCCACTTATGAGTGAGAACATGTGGTGTTTGGAATTCTGTTCCTGTGTTAGTTTGTTGAGAATTATGGTTTCCAGCTTCATCCATGTCCCTGCAAAGGATATGAACTCATCCTTTTTTATGGCTGCATAGTATTCCATTGTTGTATATGTGCCACATTTTCTTTATCCAGTCTATCATTGATAGGCATTTGGGTTGGTTCCAAGTCTTTGTTATTGCTATTGCGAATAGTGCCCCAATAAACATACGTGTGCATGTATCTTTACAGTAGAATGATTTATAATCCTTTGGGTATATACCCAGTAATGGGATTGCTGGGTCAAATAGTATTTCTGGTTCTAGATTCTTGAGAAATTACCACACTGTCTTCCACAGTGGTTGAACTAATTTACCCGCCCAACGACAGTGTAAAAGCATTCCTATTTCTCCAAATCCTCTCCAGCATCTGTTGTTTCCTGATTTTTTTTAATGATTGCCATTCTAACTGACGTGAGATGGTATCTCATTGTGCTTTTGATTTGCATTTCTCTAACGGCCAGTGATGATGAGCTTTTTTTCATATGTTTTTTGGCCGCATAAATGTCTTCTTTTAAGAAGTGCTTGTTCATATACTTTGCCCACTTTTTGATGGGGTTGTTTTTTTCTTATAAATTTAAGTTCTTTGTAGATTCAGGATATTAGCTCTTTGTCAGATGGATAGATTACAAAATTTTTCTCCCATTCTGTAGGTGGCCTGTTCACTCTGATAGTTTCTTTTGCTGCGCAGAAGCTCTTTAGTTTAATTGGATCCCATTTGTCAATTTTTGGTTTTGTTGCCATTGCTTCTGCTGTTTTAGTCATGAAGTCTTTGCCCATGCCTATGTCCTGAATGGTATTGCCTAGGTTTTCTTCTAGGGTTTTTATGGTTTTAGGTCTTACATTTAAGTCTTTAAAACATCTTGAGTTAATTTTTGTATAAGGTGTAAGGAAGGGGTCCAGTTTCAGTTTTCTGCATATGGCTAGCCAGTTTTCCCAATGCCATTTATTAAATAGGGAATCCTTTCCCCATTGCTTGTTTTGGTCAGGTTTGTCAAAGATCAGATGCTTGTGGATATGTGGTATTATTTCTGAGGCCTCTGTTCTGTTCCATTGGTCTATATATCTGTTTTGGTACCAGTACCACACTGTTTTGGTTACTGCAGCCTTCTAGTATAGTTTGAAGTCAGGTAGCATGATGCCTCCAGCTTTGTTCTTTTTGCTGAGGATTGTCTTGGCTATACAGGCTGTTTTTTGGTTCCAGATGAAATTTAAAGTAGTTTTTTCTAATTCTGTGAAGAAAGTCAGTGGTAGCTTGATGGGGATAGCACTGAATCTATAAATTATTTTGGGCAGTATGGCCATTTTCACGATATTGATCCTTCCTAGCCATGAGCATGGAATGTTTTTCCATTTATTTGTGTCCTCTCTTACTTCCTTGAGCAGTGGTTTGTAGTTCTCCTTGCAGAGGTCCTTCACATCTCTTGCAAGTTGTATTCCTAGGTATTTTATGTGAATGGGAGGTATTTATGTGAATGGGAGTTCACTCATGATTTGGCTTGCTATTTGCCTATTATTGGTGTATAGGAATGCTTGTGATTTTTGCACATTAATTTTGTATCCTGAGACTTTGTTGAAGTTGCTTATCAGCTTAAGGAGATTTTGAGCTGAGAAGATAGTTTTCTAAATATAAAATCATGTCATCTGCAAACAGAGACAATTTGACTTCCTCTCTTCCTATTTGAATACGCTTCTTTCTCTTGCCTGATTGCCCTGGCCAGAACTTCCAATACTATGTTGAATAGGAGTGGTGAGACAGGGCATCCTTCGCTTGTGCTAGTTTTCAAAGGGAATGCTTCCATCTTTTGCCCACTCAGTATGATATTGGCTGTGGGTTTGTCATAAATAGCTCTTGTTATTTTTAGATATGTTCCATCAATACCTGGTTTATTGAGAGTTTTTAGCATGAAGGGGTGTTGAATTTTATTGAAGGCCTTTTCTGCATCATGTGGGTTTTGTCATTGGTTCTGTTTATGTGATGGATTACATTTATTGATTTGTGTATGTTGAACCAGTCTTGCATTCCAGGGTTGAAGCCAACTTGATCGTGATGGATAAGCTTTAATGTGCTGCTGAATTTGGTTTGCCAGTATTTTATTGAGGATTTTCGCATTGATGTTCATCAGGTATATTGACCCGAAATTTTCTTTTTGTGTTGTGTTTCTGCCACGGTTTGGTATCAGGATGATGCTGGCCTCATAAAATGAGTTAGGGAGGAGTCCCTCTTTTTCAATTGTTTGGAATAGTTTCAGAAGAAATAGTACCAGCTCCTCTTTGTACCTCTGGTAGAATTCAGCTCTGAATCTCTCTGGTCCTGGACTTTTTATGGTTGGTAGGCTATTAATTATTGCTTCAATTTCAAAACTTGTTATTGGTCTATTCAGGGATTCGACTTCTTCCTGGTTTAGTCTTGGGAAGATGTATGTGTCCAGGAATTTATCCATTTCTTCTAGATTTTTTAGTTTATTTGCATAGAGGTGTTTATAGTATTCTCTGATGGTCGTTTGTATTTCTGTGGGATCAGTAGTGATCTCCTTTATCATTTTTTATTGTGTCTACTTGATTCTTCTCTCTTTTCTTCTTTATTGGTCTGGCTAGTGGTCTACCAATTTTGTTAATCTTTTAAAAAAAAACCAGCTCCTGGATTCACTGATTTATTGAAGGGTTTTTTGTGTCTCTATCTCCTTCAGTTCTGCTCTTATCTTAGTTATTTCATGTCTTCTGCTAGCTTTTGAATTTGTTTGCTCTTGCTTCTCTAGTTCTTTTAATTGTGATGTTAGGGTGTCTATTTTAGATCTTTCCCACTTTCTCCTGTGGGCATTCAGTGCTATAAATTTCCCTCTAAACACTGCTTTAGCTGTGTCCCAGAGATTCAGGTACATTGTGTCTTTTTTCTCATTGGTTTCAAAGAACTTATTTATTTATGCCTTAATTTTGTTATTTACCCAGCAGTCATTCAGGAGCAGGTTGTTCAGTTTCCATGCAGTTGTGCAGTTTTGGGTGAGTTTCTTGATCCTGAGTTCTAATTTGATTGCACTGTGGTCTGAGAGACTGTTATGATTTCTGTTATTTTGCAATTGCTGAGGAGTGCAATAGACCAAAACTTCCCATTGTGTGGTCAGTTTTAGAATAAGTGCAATGTGGAACTGAGAAGAACATATATTCCGTTGATTTGGGGTGGAGTTTTCTGTAGATGTCTATTAGGTCCATTTGGTCCAGAGCTGAGTTCAAGTCCTGAATGTTCTTGTTAATTTTCTGTCTCGTTGATCTGTCTAATATTGACAGTGGGATGTTAAAGTCTCCCACTATTATTGTGTGGGAGTCTAGGTCTCTTTGTATGTCTCTAAGAACTTTATGAATCTGTGTGCTACTGTATTGGTTACCTATATATTTAGGATAGTTAGCTCTTCTTGTTGTGTTGATCCCTTAACCATTATGTAATGCCCTTTTTTCTCTTTTTTTATCTTTGTTGGTTTAAAGTCTGCTTTATCAGAGACTAGGATTGCAATCCCTGCTTTTTTTTTTTTGCTTTCCATTTGCTTGGTAAATATTCCTCCATCCCTTTATTTTGAGCCTACGTGTGTCTCTGAACATGAGATGAGTCTCCTGAATACAGCAACACCAGTGGGTCTTGACTGTTTATCCAATTTGCCAGTCTGTGTCTTTTAATTGGGGCTTTTAGCCCATTTTCCTTTAAGGTTAATACTGTTATGTGTCAATTTGATCCTGTCATTATGATGCTAGCTCATTATTTTGCCTCTTAGTTGATGCAGTTTCTTCATGGTGTCGATGGTCTTCATAATTTGGTATGTTTTTGCAGTGGCTGGTATCAGCTTTTCCTTTCCATATTTAGTGCTTCCTTCAGAAGCTCTTGTAAGGCAGGCCTGGTGGTGACAAAATCTCTCAAGATTTGCTTGTCTGTAAAGAATTTTATTTCTCCTTTGCTTATGAACCTTAGTTTGACTGGATATGAAATTCTGGGTTGAAAATTCTTTTCTTTAATAATGTTGAGTATTGGCCCTCACTCTCTTCTGGCTTGTAGGGTTTCTGCAGAGAAAACCACTGTTAGTCTGATGGGCTTCCTTTTGTGGGAAACCCAACCTTTCTCTCTGGCTGCCCTTAACGTTTTTTCCTTCATTTCAACTTTGGTGAATCTGATGATTATGTGTCTTGGGGTTGCTTTTCTAAAGGAGTATCTTTGTGGTGTTCTCCGTATTTCCTAAATTTGAATGTTGGCCTCTCTTGCTAGGTTGGGGAAGTTCTCCTGGTTAACATCCTGAGGAGTGTTTTTCAACTTGGTTCCATTCTCCCCATCACTTTAAGGTACACCAATCAAACATAGGTTTAGTCTTTTCACATAGTACCATATTTCCTGGAGGCTTTGTTCATTCCTTTTCATCTTTTTTCTCTAATCTTGTCTTCATGCTTTATTTCATTAAGTTGATCTTCAATCTCTGACATCCTTTCTTCCAGTTGATCAATTCAGCTATTGATACTTGTGTATGTTTCACGAAGTTCTCATGCTGTATTTTTCAGCTTCATCAGGTCATTTATATTCTTCTCTAAACTGGTTATTTTAGTTAGCAATTCCTCTAACCTTTTTTCAAGGTTTTTAGCTTCCCTACATTGAATTAGAATATGCTCCTTTAGCTCAGAGGAGTTTGTCATTACCCACCTTCTGAAGCCTACTTCTGCCAATTCATCAAACTCATTCTCTGTCCAGTTTTCTTCCCTTGCCGGCAAGGAGTTGTGATCCTTTGGAGGAGAATAAGCATTCTGGTTTTGGAATTTTCAGCTTTTTTGCACTGGCTTTTCCTCGTCTTCATGGATTTATCTACCTTTGGTCTTTGATGTTGGTGACCTTCAGATGGAGTTTTTGTGGGGATGTCCTTTTTGTTGATGTTGATGCTATTCCTTTCTGTTTGGTTAGTTTTCCTTCTAACAGTCAGGCCCCTCTGCTGCAGGTCTGCTGGAGTTTGCTGGGGTCCACTCCAGACCCTGTTTACCTGGGTACCACCAGCAGAGGCTGCAGAACAACAGAGATTGCTGCCTGTTTCTTTCTCTGGAAAGTTTCTCCCAGAGGGGCACCTGCCAGACGCCAGCCAGAGCTCTCCTGTATGAGGTGTCTGTTAACCCCTGCTGGGAGGTGTCTCCTAGTCAGGAAGCACGGGGGTCAGGGACCCACTTGAGGAGGCAGTCTGTCCCTTAGCAGAGCTTGAGCACCATGCTGGAAGATCCGCTGCTCTCTTCAGAGTCAGCAGACAGGAATATTTAAGTCTGCTGAAGCTGCGCCCACAGCTGTCCCTCCCCCCAGGTGCTGTGTCCCAGGGAGATAGGAGTTTTATCTATAAGGCCCTGCCTGGGGCTGCTGCCTTTCTTTCAGAGATGCCCTGCCCGGAGAGGAGGAATCTAGAGAGCACAAATTAAATTTAAGTAAAAGTGACAGTGTTAACTTTGGACAATGTAGGCTTCAAGACAAAAAGCATAAAATAGAATAAAAGAGAGTTGTTTTATATTGATAAAAGTTTCATAAAAGATATATCAGCCATGAACCTTTATGAGTCAAATAATATAACATCCAAATATATTAAGCAAAAATTGGCAGGCAGATAAAAATGAAAACGTTGTCATAATAGATTTTAATACAATGTTCCCAGCTTTGGACAGAACATGACGAATTTGACAACATGGAGATTTGGATTATTATAATTAAGATAATGGTAGCATGGAAATTTGACTAGCATAGTTGATAAAATATATTGTGCTTCCAACGCTAAAAGCAGATTTTCCTTGCATTTGAAGAACACATAGTTTGTCAAATTGGTGAGATAATGATCTATAAGAAGAACGAAGTTTATTAGGAGAAGCAGAAATAATGCAGATCAAATTATCTGACTACATTCCCTGAAACTGCAAATATTTTAATCAAGCTTAAAAGATTCACCAATTACTTGAAAATGTTTGTGCATGTGTATCAGAGTGTCTGTATATATACACACAAATACACATATATACATATGAGTACATAAACATGCAAATACTTACACACATATATACATATGAGTACATAAACATGCAAATACTTACACACATATATAATCTAAACTTTTTTTAATAGTAGGAAACTCAAAATTAAAAATATAAATAAATATTACTGTATTTCACAATATCTAGGATTTGCTTTAGAATACTGCAAAAAAAATGGGGGCATGGGGGAATAAGTATGGCAAAATGTTGATAATTGTTGAAGTTTGGTGATAGGTACCTGGGGGGTGATTAAACTATTCTGCTTACATTACATACATGTGAAATTCTTCATATATAAAAGGTGAATATTTTTAAAGTACTGCATACTATAACACATGTTGCTTAAAAAGCTGTAACCTGGAGGCAAATTCATATCCTAAATGCTATCAACAAAGAAAAGTTAGGAAAATCAGAAAAAAAAGATACTATTAAAAATGAAAGCAGAAATAAGTAAAAATGTTTTAAAAAATAAAAATATACTAAAATTAATAATTGTAAGAACTAGTTCTTGCAAAAATTATTGGAGTAAACATTCAAGAAACTCAATCAAGAAAAATTCAAGTATCCAAACCTTAAATAAGTAATGATAATAAAATGAAAGAACATTTAACATGAAAAAGAAAAGAAACTATAAAGCATTAATAATTAATAAAAAAGGAAACCATAATAATCTAGAGGGAAATCTATATGAATATTTAACTTATTTCATGGTAGATTAGTACCACCAAAGCATTAAAGCAATGGATGAAATTAAAAAATAGAAAGCATGATGGATATATTTAATGATAAAATTTATAATGATACATTAAAGCGATCAAAACAAAATTAATATTCAGATGACAAATACGTGGACCTGAATCAGGACAACTACAATAAAGATGGAGAGAAAGGAGATTCAAGAAACACATTACAGTACACCAAAATGGGAAAAAACAGTTGATTTTTATTTGAATGTTGTAGGATAATGATGCCACAACTAGGACAGAAAACCCAGGCTTATACAGGAAAGATGATTTCAATATTCATCTACATGCCCAGTTGCCAGGCCACTGGATTCATAAGTCTGAAGATCAGGGAAGAATTTAGGAGCTAGTAAAATGGGATGGGAGTCATCAGAACAGGGGTAATAATTGTTGGCATGCAAGTCAGAAAAAGCATTCAGAAAGAGAGAACAGAACAAGAAGAGTAGAGGGTAGAAGTTTAAAACTAGATAAAGCTATCTTTTAATGTGAGAACTATAGAAGTGGAGTCCGTAAAAGAAACCAAGAATGAGAAGTGAAAGAGGAACAATGAAAAAGGAGAAAAGAATATCAGGGAAACCAAGGGAGTTGAAGAGCAAATAGAAGATCAGGAAACTGACTAAGAAGAGATTAACATCTGAGGGTTCCAGGTGTCAAGAGCTTGCTTAATCTTAGACTCAGCACATACTGGAATTGGCTGCACACATTTACTTCAGCACTGGTCTGGGGCCAAAGATGAATGATTGCCTTGAAATCAGAATATTGGGACAACCAGAAATTTTGTCTTTTTGGATTACCAGAATAGTGATTTACCATTAAATTACCAGTCTGAAGACCCAGTGCCTTGGTAGAGATTTATCAGCTTGCTACCCACCTTCTGTGGTTGAGGCTTGGTTAAACAGGGAACAGGGCTTATTTGTAAGACAATGAATGATAAAATGGGCCTGCAAGTTGCATACATGTCCAGATAAATCATAATGCCATCTCTTGACAATGGTAGAACGAAAGGATCATCACTTACACCCAAGGGACTATATTCTGTTCATTCAGATGCCTATTTTCCTAAATCCAAGCATCTTTCCAAAAAAAGTAGTTCACTGCACAAAGGTAGGGCCCGTCAAAAAAGTAACCATCACTGAAAATTATTTCAAGATATTGTCCAACAATCATTAGGGGTTGACAAAAATAGAGCATTCCCAGTAGTTATAAACAAAGACCATGCCAGGTAAATACATGAATTAATGAGTTTCAAGTTCACTGCTTAATGAACTGAAGAGGCATTTCAACAAATTCCAAAAGCTAAAATTAAAGGATAAAACGAAGTTTGAGAAGTTTATACTTAAGCTCAATAGTCTGGATGTTGTAGTAGTTACTTTAACAAACACCTTCCTAAGACAATGACTACTCTTATAGTGCCATCTATGCAGTATAATAATAATACTAATAACAACAATTCATCATAATAACAGCCAAGATGTACTCAGGATTTACTATGTCCTAGGCACTAGTCTAACAAGATGAGGAGCAAGAATTCAAACCAGGCAGTCTGACTCCAGAGCCAACCTGCTTAGGCCCAAAACTCTACTGCCTCCCAACTACTCCTGCTGAAATAAAGAGGATGAGACTTTGTCCTCAGATGAAACAGTTTAAACCTGATCTCTGTCACATACAAACTTCAAGGCTCTGGGGAGAATTTCTTTCTAAATTCCTAACAGCATTTGTTTATCATTTACAAGCTAGAGATAATACCTGCCAGCAAGGTAGCAGTAAGAACTGGATGAGATTATGTTGAGTACCTGACAGACAGTCAGTCCTCCACAGAATAACTATAAGATGAGGAGGAGGAGGAGGATCATTCTCATCCTTTGATCTTTGGTCTGGGCGGTATTTATTTGCTACTGGTGCTGTGACATATTACCATAAACTGAGTGGCTTAAAACAACAAAAATGTATTATTTTACAGTTTTGTAGGTGAGAAGTCTGTTGCAGAACTCACTGGACTAAAGTCAAGGTAGGGCAAGAGGGCAATATTCCTTTCAGAAGCTTCTAAAGAGTACTGTTTCCTTGTCATGCCTTTTCCCAGCTTTTTTTATTTTTTATTTTATTTTATTTTTTTTGAGATCAAGGTCTGACTCTGTCACTCCACTGCAGTGCAGTGGTGCAATCATAGTGCACTGCAGCTTTGAACTCCTGAATTCAAGTGATTCTCCTGCCTCAGCATCCTGGGTAGCTGCGATTTCAGGCTTGAGCCACCGTACTCAGCCTTTTCCAGCTTCTTAAAGGAGGCCCACGTTCTTGTCTTAGACCAAACACCCCCCTTTTCATCTTCAAAACCAGCAATGGTAGGTTGAGTCCTTCTGACATTTTATCATCTCAACCTTCTCTTCTGTCTCTGTCTTTCACTTTTAAGGATCCTTATGGTTACTTTAGACTCACTCAGATAATCCAGTGCTAACATGCTTAGCCCAGAGATGCTACTATAATTTCTCTTTTTTCAGGTCAGCTGACTCACAGTCTTAATTTCAACTGCAAACCTAATTCTCCTTTGCCATATAACCTAACATTCACAGGTCTGTGGGATTAGAACATAAACACCTTTGAGGAGCCATTATTCCACCTAACACAAAGACATTTTTGAGAAAGGTTTTCTTTAGCTTCTTGATGCCTATTCTGGGCTATACTGAGTTAACTGACCTCCTACTAACACCTATACAGTATATAAACGATGGGGTACTCTACCACATTTTTGTGCAACCACCCTGTCTTAGTCTGTTTGGTAATGTTAGAATGCCACAGACTCACAGACTGAGTAACGTGTATACAATAGAAATTTATTTCTTGCAGTTCTGGAGGCTGAGAATACCAAGATCAAGGAGCTGACATCTGGTAAGGACTTTCTTGCTGTCATCCCATGGTGGAAGGGCAAAGAAGAGTAAGGGAGACCAAGAGCTCAAATTCACATCCTTAAGCCCTTTTATCACCAACATTAATCCACTCGTGAGGGTGGGAGCCCAAATGACCTAAAAACCTCCCAGTAGGCCCCACCTCTTAACACGGTTGCATTGTGGATTAAGTTTCCAACACACGTTTTCTGGAAACAAATTCAAACCATAACACACCCCTAGGCTTTTTTTCTTTTAAGTAAATCTGTACTTGGAAGGTGACAGTTGTCCTAAGGGATGGTGCTGTTGAAAAGATAAATTGTTGCAAAGGGAGTATAGAGTTTCTATTGCCGTATTTCTGGTCAATAAATGAAGAAAGGAAGATTAACCAAATAAAGGTAATAAAAATATTTTCTTCTATGATACTTGTGAATCAAAGCACATCTGGAAATAGAAAGATTAGTTGTTGAATTAAGAGACATTCACACACATTCATTTCATTTCATGTTATTTTCTCAAAACCACACTTTTGTGTACAATCCTCAATCATAATGCTAGTTCATTCATAACACTTTCTTAACTAAAAGTCACTCATGGCTTTCCATTACATATGGAAAACAGCTAAACACAATTAATTCATCACCTGTCCTGAATAACCTTACCCTTATGTAAGGTCCTCCATCTCCAAACAAATTTTAATCACTATGTCCCAAAGAGAAATAGACATGGGCCACACCATTTCTGCCTAAAGTACCCACCTCAGCACCACCTAATTATCTAAATTATTCTTATTCCTCAAGACTTCATTTAAATATAATTCAACAAAACCACATTGAAATACCACCTCACACCAGTCAGAGTGGATATGACTAAAAAGTCAAAAAATAACAGATGTTGGTGAGGTTGTGGAGAAAAGGGAATACTTGTACACTGCTGATGGGAATTTAAATTATTTCACCCACTGTGGAAAGGAGCTTGGAGATAACTCAAAGAACTTAAAACAGAACTTTTTTTTTTGTCTTGCTTTGCCACCAGGCTGGAGTGCAGTGGTGCAATCTCAGCTCACTGCAACCTCCACCTCCTGGGTTCAAGCGATTCTCCTGCCTCAGCCTCCTGAGTAGCTGGGACTACAGGTGCATGCCACAACACCCAGCTAATGTTTTTGTATTTTTAGTAGAGACATAGTTTCACCATGTTGGCCAGGATGGTCTTGATCTCTTGACCTCGTGATCCCCCACCTCGGCCTCCCAAGGTGCTGGGATTACAGGCGTGAGCCATCATGCCCAGCCAAAACAGAACTTTCATTGAACCCAGAAATCCTACTATTGGGTATATGCCCAAAAGAAAATAAACTGTTCTATCGAAAAGACACATGCACTTGTGTGTTCACTGCAGCACTATTCACAATAACAAAGACATGGCATCAACTTATATGCCCATCAATGGTGGATGGATAAAGAAAATATGGTACATATACACCATGGAATACTACATAGCCATAAAAAGAATGTGACTGTGGCCTTTGCTGCAACATGGATGCAGCTGAAAGCCGTCATCCTAAGCAAAGTAACACAGGAAAAGAAAATCAAATACCACACGTTCTCACTCATAAGTGGACGCTAAACATTGCGTATGCATGGACACAAAGATGGAGACAACAGACACTGAGGACTACTGGAGTGAAAAGGGTGGGAGGGAGACATGGGCTGAAAAACTACCTATTGGGTACTAGGTATGCTATCTGGGTGATGGGATCGTTCCTACACCAAATTTCAGCAACACACAATTTATCCATGTAACAAACCTGCACAGGTACCCTCTGAACCTAAAATAAAAGTCAAAAAAGAAAAATAATAAAAATAAGATAGATACAAGTCTATGTGTGATACTTTTCCTGATAAATCCACTCACAATGCTCTGGAGATTCTATAACAAGGCCTGCCAGTAACTTCTTTTGTCACTTGTCATGGATAAATGTCTATAAATATGATCTTTTATTTCCTTGGTACATATACAGGTGCCCACCCTTTCAAAATCTTTGAAATGATAGGCCGATTCATTCATTTAAGTTTGGATTTGGAATATCCCCCAATATTATTTCTGCAAAATTTCAAAGCCAATTCTGATATTTGAGGCGTTTTTTCCAACACATACTCTGAAAGTGTATTTCTATAAAGTATTAAAAGTATTATGCAATTTCATAGACCCAAATGAACATTTAAAATGGGATAAATTACAATAAAATAGTGCAGTACTTTCCTGCCACCAGATTGCAGGGATACTATTATACTAATAAATAAAAAGGGATATGATAAACTGTTTTCAATTAGGTACTATTTGGAACTATATTAAGTATTCTAATAAGAGGAGAAAATGGCAATATAAAAATGCTTATGGAGAAATGCAACAGAATAAACATTTAATGAAAAGTTCAGAGGGGAGAAATGGATTCTCATCTATTCTTTTTCTGGAAAACAAAGATTCTCAATACAAGAGGCCAATTCAAATGTAGTTTGGGGAAGAAGAAGCAGCACAGGATAAAGGAAGGAAACTGCTGAGGAGTGGGGGTTCCTGGGCGAGTCATTTAACATCTCTATGCCTCAGTTTACATGCCAATAAAAGATAAAATATCAAACTACATGATTTCCAAGATTGACTCATTCTCAGAAGTTCCAACATAATCTGATGTAAGAAATCTACTCATCATCTAGGTGTATGCTATAGTTCATAATTCATTTCAAGTAATCTTTATCTTTTTAACAAAACATCATCTTAATATATATAGACATTATCCAAGTAAAAGATTGTCTTAAATTATGTTCATTAAAGTGAAATCATAATAAAATTTTACTCTTTACCTAAAGGAACAAAATGTAGCAATCGTTCTTGAAAATACACCATGATCTTAATTTTAAAATACATGTTGTGAGTTTATTATATTCCATTAAACATCTTTGAAATGTTCCCTTGTAATACCTTTGTAACAACTGTATACTACTGAATAGACCCCTGCTTTCATAAAACAAAACACTCCCACATAATTTTCCCCTTGTGATCTTTCTATTTGTGACATAGTTGCTGAATTAAAACATTTAGTGCCCAGGCACAGTGGCTCATGCCTGTAATCCCAGCACCTTGGGAGGCCGAGGCAGGCAGATCACCTAAGGTCAAGAGTTTGAGACCAGCCTGGCCAACATGGTGAAACTCCAATTTTACAAAAAAAAAAAAAAAAAAAATACAAATATACAAAAATTAATTGGGCATGGTGGCAGGTGCCTGTTATCCCAGCTACTCAGGAGGCTGAGGCAGGAGAATAGCTTGAACCAGGGAAGCAGAGGTTGCAGTGAGCCGAGATCACACCACTGTGCTCCAGCCTGGGTGACAAGAGAGAAACTCCATCTCAAAAGTAATAAAAATAAATAAAAATAAAACACTTGGCCATGAGCATGAGTATTTTAGCGGCTTTTCCTATTTACTCAAATAGGTTTGTCAACCACATGTTATTCCAAAGATTTGTCAACCACATATTACAAATGTACTTAAAAATCTTTTTTTTTGTACCACAAGGTGGCATCTTCTTATTTTGGTATAAACCTCTGAATATTTACATAATTTGAATAATTGCATACACCTGAAGTATTTTTTAAAATTTTAAAACAACCATTTAACAGCTGTGCAAATATATGGCAGTTCTGTTAGCTAATGCAAGTAGTACTTTTGGATATTTATGTTCCTGGAATGTTCAGAATATTCAGTCTTTAACAAAATGATGAGCTGTTCACACTAAAAAGTCAATAAACACTGTCCTCCAAATGTTAAGCTCATAGAGATTAGTAATACAAAACATACACTGTAAAATGTATGGATTTAAATGGAAGCTTCCTTAAAAACAGCCACAAATGTGGAACAGACCAAGTCCACATCAGTTTGCTAATTACCCTTAATACTCGGATAAAATAAGTAATGCACATTTGTACAATGCCTACTCTGTGCCTGGCTCTGTGCTAGGCACTTTAACCTATCTTCTTACATTTCATGAGAAAATCTCTCTGAATATACCAATTCTAAAGCCAAATGCAATAGTCTAGTTCCTCTGAAACTGAATAGCTATATCAATATCCTGAGGAGCTTGATAAAACGTAAAATGCTAAGCCATATCTCCTAAAAATTTCAAGTGTAAAACAGTGCAATGCATAATGAAAACCCACAAATATTAATAAGGAATTCTGCCACACTAAAAATAAACTTCAAGATAACTCTGAAAAAAAAAATCTCAAAAAAAAAAAAAAGACAGCAATCTAAAACGAATTGGTAAATATATAAAACATATTGACAAAATACTAAGCCTGTTTACTTCTGGCAGTTATGAAAATCATAATTCTTAATATGGCTCACTTGAAATTTCAGGTCATTGCTTCTTGTCCCATATTTAGTGATGAAAAATTGATGATGAGCGTGATGAGGATTCTTAAGATGAGTGGAAAAAAATAAGACTATATAGGGTAAGATTTATCTTAGTCACTGCACTTTCTTATACCCAATAACTTATCATTTTGTAAAAAATAAATGGAAGACATTTCCTATGGGGGTACATAAATATAGTAAAAATTACAATAGGGTCACAAACAGCACTGTGCTTAGGGATGTGTGTCATAACCTTTCCAAGTCAACATAGTCACTGGTAACAAGATTTGCTCAGTGGCAGAATATGTCCATGAATTAGAGGCAGTATCTTGTCCATGGATATATTCTTCCCTTGTACATAAATACATACTGCTGCAGTTAAAATACTGTAGTCTAGTACTTTTTGATCTAGCATGATTACTGATTAAAGATGCAAGTATTGTCAACAAAGAAAAATTCTCAAGTCTTGAAAAAATTGTAGCTAATAAGATCATAGTTAATATTAAAAATGATTCTCAGATTCCTCATTATCATCTTATAGGCATACTCTCTTTCATGCTCACATATATCTACACACATCCACATAAACATACACATGCATTCATATGCCTGGATGCTGGAGGCAACTGCCATTACCTTTAATTCTGTTTTTAGACAGAATAATAATGGTGCAGAAACACTGTGATCTTTATTGGGTCAATCAGATATGAACCTGTAAAGTTGCTTCTTTCTAGCATTTTCAGTCTGTTGCATGCCAACTCCCTCAGGTATGGAAGTAGATAGAAAAATTGTAGTTTAAACAAAATATTAAACTGACAAATAATCCCTACCTCACACCACACATCAAATTTAATTACAGGGCTTACAAAAAGAAAATAAACTACAATGGCACTAGAGGGTGTTCCATCCTGGGACAGAAAAAATTTGAAATGCATGACGTCAAAAGTATAACATAACAGAAAAAATGGATGAGTTTTTTACTTCAGTTTGATAAACTTCATATATATATACATATATATGCCATGTATGTATATACACATATATATAAATGTATGGCATATATATACACACACATATATATACCATACATTTCTCATATATAGATATAACTGTGCGTATATATATATACACACACACATATACAACTGTGTGTGCATATATCTATACACACATATATACACACATACATATATATGTCATATATAACTATAATATACATATAGTTATATATGTATTCCATATATAACAGTGTGTGTATATACATACGGCATACAGTTTTTATAATACGAAAACAGCAAGCGTCTTCATAGAAACTGGACAAAGTAGACAATTTACAAAGAACTACTAATATAAATAAACATAAGAAACTCATGTAACACCATTAGAAATAAAAGAAATTCAAATTAAAACAATAATGCAAGGTCTTTTTTATCTTTTGGATTGGAATATTTTTATTCTAACACCTAATATTGAAAGGTAGGGAAGGAAACTGGCCTCTGGAATACTGATATTGGGAATGTAAACTGGTACATTTCTAGAAGGCAATTTAGCCATGCATGCAAAAAGTTTTAAAATGTACATATTTTTAACTAGCAAATGCACATGTAGTAATATATTCAAAAGATACATGTAAAAAGATATAATGTCCACGTAAAATTAAAAACCTAAGGATCCAACAAGCCCTTCAACCGGTTATACTGAAGTTATTAAATATGATTGAAAAATAAATAATTTCAATGAATTGAGGTGTATATACTCTTAAATAAATACTTATGAAATAGAATAAACACTTTATTCTTAACTTAGGAAAAAGAAAAGACACATAAACATAAGAGGAAGACTCTAGGGATATACACTGAAACATTTAGCAGAGATCATTTGAAAGGGCTTTATTACATGTGTTTTTAGTTAGTTTTTATTTTCTAAAATTTTCTTAATTAGTGTGATGGTTAATTTTATGTGTCAACTTAGCTAGGCTATGGTGCCCAGCATATGGTGCCTATCCTACTGTCACAACGAATGGTAAATGTGTGCCCTGATCACCTGCCCGGTGCCTGCCTGTGGCAACCCTACCATGCTGACAGTGCTACCCCTCATGTGCAGGTAAAAGCTGGCTGTCATCTGTGGGATCCATAAGCAAATGAAGTTTAAAACATTTTAAACTCATAAGAAGCCAGTCTAGATGTTGCTGTGAAGGAATTTTTTAGTTGTGATTAACATTTATTAACATTTATAATTGGTAGATTTTAAGGAAGGCAGATTTCCCTCTATAATGTGGGTGGGCCTCATCCAATCAGTTGAAAGTCTCAAAGGAAAGAATGTCGTTCTTTCTGTTTCAAGACTGCAGCATACAGACTCTGCCTGAGTTTCTAGACAGCTCGTCCTGCCCTGCAGACTTTGGACTCAATACGACATCAATTCCTGCCTGAGTTTCTAGGCTGCCAATCTATCCTACAAATTTCAGAATTGCCAGCTCCCACAATCATGAGAGCCAATTCCTTAAAATAAATCTCTCTCTAGATACACACACACACACACACACACACACACACACACACACACACACACCCCTTTTGGTACTGGAGAACCCTAATGCAATGACCATCTACTAGTTTTGGCATAAGAAAAAAAATGACTAGAAAGATCTTTAAAAATTAAAGAATAAATTGAAAATGAGAAAAAAAATCAAATTTTCCTGGAGATAAAGCAACATGACTGAGAAAAAAGATCCTGTTTCTCTACTTATTATTTAAGGGTCACTGACTAGCATGCACAAGGTGGACAAAAATGTGAAAAAAATTTTTATATCAGCTCCACATAATCACATCTCTGCCATTTCTATTATGTGGGATTATGAAATTTGTCATTTGTCTGCTATTTACAGGTAAAATTTTAATAATTTATACCATGTAACCATTTGCCGATAAGATAAACTGCAGTCCTGAAGGTATTTCACTTGGAAAATAAGAAACATTTTCCATTTTGTTGCCTTTTCATATTAATATCTGCTAGTCTATCATGCTAATTAATAAAGGTAGCAGGCAGAGTAAGTCTCAGTTTTTTTTCTAATTTTGTTTAATTTATCAAATGGAAAATAATCTAGCAAAGTCATTAATTTAATTTCTTCTGAGAGGGAATCATTACTAGATATGTTAAATTTTCAACAATGCAGCTTCAAAACAGCTGTAGCCATGGAAAATTTTTATAGTTTTAATTGAACATCTGTGCATTTTAATTGATTAATTTGAAGAAAATACAAGAAAAGAAAAAAGAACAGTAGGTAAAATGAATTTAACAAACCACTTTTTCGTTTTTCTCTGCTTCTTACTTAATTTTTCAGTATAAATAAAACAGAAGATTATCAAACAACATTAAATCATTCCCATGACTATAAATACACTCATATTAATTTAGCAGAGTAGGCAAGTATTTTATGACAGGATTGTTTCCAATCAAAAACATATACAAGGATACATATGTGAACATATATAGTATTTATTCAGATTCCTGCCTCTATGGAAAATATTAAGGCAATTCACTTAGGACAACATCCCAAACAGTGTAAAAATACTCCAATGCCCCAACCACCAACGCTGCTACCATTATGCACATAAGGGTGCATAAAGCTAAAGATATTTCTGTAATTTTTGCAACATCCAACAGACCATTCTTCCCATTTTGTTTTCCCTTTTAAATGTATCACCTGCTTACCAACTCACACTTCCTTAATGCCTCACCAATTTCATCATCAATACTTAACTGCCACAGGCATGGCCGTAGCCCTGGATTTCTCATTTTTCCCCAGTATTTAGAAAGAATGGAGCTCCAGAACAATATATTAGCTATAAAAAGAACTATGAAAAACCTGTCGAGAAACAGCAGTAAAATAGCCACACAATTCCCTTAGACACACTGAGCTATACGAAACACTGGGGAGAGTTTGCTCTTAGTTATCATTGCTATTTAACTGGCCAACACATTCTGTTCTTAAGTAAGATCAAAGATATTTTTGTCAACACCATTTGAAAACCAACAGAAAGGATAGATGCATTTCTCCATTCTGTTAAGAAATGAAAGAAAAGTAAATGTCTCCTTTAGTTAAGGGACAAGTGCAAATAATTCTGCATAACCCTGAATAAAAATAATCATCATGGTAATAAGAGTTAATGATGTGTTTACATTAATTCAGAATTAGTCAAATTTAAACTTTTGGTAAGATGTTAGTGTGTTCTTTCTGTGCTAGAAGAATGTGCAGAGAGAAATATACTATTTTAGAATGTGATTTGTCATCTAGGCACTTTTAAAACCACAAGAGCAGCCATGTGGGGCAGCACAGTGTTTAACCTTACAGTAGTTGCTCATTTAATGTTTGTAAGTTCTTTGAGAGCTTTCCATTTAGAATGTAAATGTGCTAATTACAGATTAGTCTTATACCTTTACTAAGGAAGGTAATAAATAACAAATATCTGGCAACATGTTTGTAGGTATTGATTTTCTATTTAAATGAATGTAAGAGTCTTTAGTTTACAATAGTTTATCACTCCCTAACCCGCAAGCAAGTTATTTCCTCTGTCAAGTAGGCCTCCCTGCAATGGTTATACCTACGCAAAGTTCCTCCATCCTGGATAACCCTTCACATCTCCAGGATTATTATAATTTAAATGTCTTCACCACTTCTTACCACAAATGTATAAGATATTCAAGTTAGCAAGCTATGTATTTCAAATTGGTACTATTGTACAGAATTTGTAGGTAGGTGTACTTTAAAGATAATTTTTATCTGTGATGAGAAAAGAAATATCCACCAGACTCTCCTTTACAGTGAGTACAATCTTGGTTGAAAGTAAATCTTTCATAAAATTAGAATAGACTAGAGACAGGTATTACAGTAAACAGGAATGGAAGTTTTCTGAATGACACTTGCCTCAACCTCAAGTGAATGAGGTGAATTTTAGAGAGCAGAAAAGAAATTGGTGAAAGTCCCCATAGACAGCATAATGACCTTCTCCTCCGTTACTCCTTACCCCTCCCACAACACACACGTGCTTGCACACACATACACACACACACACACACACACACGCATACACACAAAC